>NC_000004.12:132860774-133163805 GCF_000001405.40 Homo sapiens
TGTTTAGCTTCACATGAATAGCAAAACTATTTCCAAATGACCATTCCACTTTTCATTCCAACCAGTAATGAATGAGAGTTCCTGTTGCCCTGGATTCTCATCAGCAGTTGGAATTGTATTTTAGACTTTAGCCATTTTAATGCAGCCACACACTACATAAGGGTGTTTTAGTTAATGACAAACTGGATATGTGATGGTAGTCCCATAAGATTATAATATCATATTTTTACTGTATCTTTTATATGTTTAGATACACAAATATTTACCATTGTGTTACAATTGCCTACAGAATTCAGTACAATAACATGCTGTACAGATTTGTAGCCTAGGAACAACAGGCTATACCACATAGTCTAGGTGTGTAGTAGTCCATACCAGCTAGGTTTACATAAGCACATTCTATGATGTTTGCACTACAACCAAATCATCTACTGATGCATTTCTCAGAATGTGTATCTCCATTGTTAATCAATGCATGACCATACATGTGTAATGGTATTTCATTGTGGTTTTACTTTGAAATTACCTAATAAAATATAATTTTTTCATATGCTTATTTGCCCTGTTGTATCTTCTTTGATGAAATGTCAATTTATATATTTATCCATTTTTAATTGTCTTTTATTTTTCTTATTTGTCAGTTTTGTAGGTTCTTTGTATATTTTGGATACAAGCCCCTTATCAGATATATGTTTTGCAAATATTCTTTCTCAGGTTTTGGCTTGTTTTTTTGATAATTTTAATTTTGGCTTTCACAGAGCAGATGTTTTTAATATTAATAAAATTCAACTTGACAATTTTTCTTCCATAGATTGCGCTATTGCTGTCATATTTAAAGACTCATCACAAAATCTAAGATGACAGGTTTGTCACTAAGTTTGGAAAATTCTTGGCCATTATTACTTCAAATAATTTTTCAGCTCTGTTCTCTTTTTCTCCTTCCAGCATTTTAATTATGCATATGTTATACTTTTTGAAATTACCCCACAGTCTTAGATATTCTTTTGTATTTTTTTTTATCATCTCTTTGCAATTCACTTACGGAAGTGTTTTTGACATATCTTCAAACTCACTTATTAATTCCTTGGCCATTTCCAGTCTTCTGATGTGCCCATCAAAGGAATTATGTTAGTGGTTTTTATTTTTTCTTGGAGCTTCTACCTCTCTGCTCACAAAACCCATCTGTTCTTCCATATTATATCTCAATTCCAGTACAGTTCTTAACATATTAATTATAGTAATGATTGTGTGATAATTCTAGTATTTGTGTCATATCCGAGTCTGTTTTTGATGTTTGCATTATCTCTTAAGATTTTGGATTTTTTTCTTTTCTTTAATATTTTTTATTTTTATTGAAAGCCAGACACGATGACTTCAGTAATAGGAACGTAGAGTATAGGCCATTAATGTGATGTTTTCTAGTTAATTTGTTTGGGGGTTGGGCTGTGTTTGATGTTTATCATAACTGTAGGTGCCAAAGGCTTCAAATTCTTCCAGTGTCTTCGTTTTTGTTTCTCTTGTTGTATTTTGGCTCTCCCTAAAATCTTTTTTTAAAATAGAATCTGTGCCTTGGAGCTCTTTTAGGTGTAGTCCACTTTCATTATAATGAAGCCCTGTTGATGTGGTGTGGGGTAAGGAGTGGGTGACGGGAAGCATTCTATAATTTTATAATCAATCCACAGTCTTTTAGTCGACCTGTTTTTCTGAGCTGTGACCTTCACAAGTGTTTCTCACCTCAGATACAGAAAATTACAACCTATTTGTGCAAAAGCCCACAAGTAGAAACCTCCAGGGGAACCAATGCCAAGGTAAGAAAACAAACTGTAATTGATGAATTTCTGGAGGAACATTGTAGACAACTCTGAGAGGTAAAAACTCCAGGGAGACCCAATTATTAAGGAGCCTGCACACATCTGTGAGCTTTATCACCAGGGGCTCTGCCACGTCCTCATGGGGAGGACGTAAAAAACCCATCCCGGAATGAATAACCAATTATATCAAGGCTGCAAGATACAAGTTTAACGTACAAAAGTTAATTTCTTTCCTATATAGTAGGAATAAGTAAGTACAATGTAAAATTAAAGACACATTACCATTTATATAAACAGCAAATATGTATGTGTATATATATAATAGTTATAATTTTTAAAAAGTGTACAAGATCTATATGAGAAAAACTAAAAAATAATGAAAGATATCATATCATAACTAAATAAATGGAGAGATATTTCATATTTATGGATAGGAAGACAATATTGTCAAGATGTCATTTCTTCCTAACTCATCTATAGATTCAATGTAGATTCAATCCAATTCTGGGATTCATAATCCCAGAAAGTAATTTAGTGGGTATTGACAAACATAGTCTAAGTTTACATGAACTAAGACATCATCAAAGTAGCAATGCAAATGGCAAGTAATCATATAAACAATATGAAATATCGTATGCCATTAGGGAATTGCAAATTAAAATAATAAAAAGATACCACAACATGCCTATTTGAATGGCCAAAACCCAAAACTCTGACAATACCAAATACTGGCAGGAATGCAGAAGAACAGTAACTCTAATTCATTGCTGGTAGGAATGCAAAAACATACAGCCACCTTTGAAGACATTTTGGCATGTTTTTTCACAAAACTAAGCATACTATTGGAATATTATGCAGCAATTATGTTCCTTGGTATTTACATAAAGGAATTGAAAACTGATGGCCCCACACAAACCCGCTCATGGATATTTATAGCAGCTTTATTCATAGTTGTCAAAACTTGGTGGCAACCAAGAGGTCCTTCAGCAACAAATGTACCACTGTGATGTTGATAGTAGAGGAGGCTGTGTGTGTTTCTAATAATGTTCTGCATGCCAAAGTTTTGATTCAATAAGACAAAAATAATATTAAAAAGCCAAACTAATGAGGACAAATAATAGTTTAAGAAGGTACACAGAAACATTTGGCATAATATCCAAACACAAATTTCCATCAACAAAAGAATGAAAGAATGCATTGCAGCAATCAATAAAATAAAACACCAGTCAGCAATTAAAGTAAATTACTTATGCAACTTGGATGAATCTCAAAAGTATTGTTTTGAATGAAAAAAGTTACACACTAATAGTACATACTGTATAATGATATTTATATGATATAAATCAGATAAAACTAATAACTGGTAATTAAATTCAGATTTGCGTGCATGTTTGTGGTGAGGTAGGGGGCACTGCATTGACTGAAAGGGTACAGAGTATTATGAGGTTTTATAAAAATATTTCTCTTTTTTCAGTGATGGTTACATGTAAGCATAACATTGTCAAATTTCATCAAACTATACACTTAACTTTATTGTATTTTATTGTATAAATATGCCTTAATAAGGAAAAAAATTGACTATGTCCATTTATTATGCAATCTAATTATTCTTTTTTTCCTAATAATTTGATTCTTATTTTCAGTATCTCTGAATTCCTACTTATAACAACCTTTGGTGTATTCAATATCCTCCTTATTTTTCTGAAGATATTTATTATGCTTATTTCTTTAATTATTGTCATCCCGTTATATCAGTTTTCTTTTACTTTTATTTGTATATTATTCAATTTTTTATTTGTTTCATAATGATTTTGTTCTTCCAATAACTCCTATTATTTCTGTGTAAACTTACATTTTCATCTCTAATGAAAGTCAGTTCTTTTTATTATTAATGATTACCTGGAGTTTGGCCAACTGCCTTGGCCTTAGCTTACACATTTAAAGATGAGTTGATGGGCAGAGGCAGAGTCCCTGTTGTTGCAATTTGGGTATGTTCTTTTCTCTCTGCCACTCTTCCTATGTTCTTTGATTAAAGAGGCCATTGCTTTATCTTGTGTCCATTATTTTCCAATTGAAATTGCATAGCCCACAGCAGGGGTGAGTGGATTACTTAGGGCCTTTCAGGCAGCCTGCATATTTCTACATGATCTCATAACAACCAGGTGAAAAGCATCCCAAAACTGCCACTGAAAAACTGCATGTCTTGTTTGTGTTGCCTTTGTAGCTCCTGGGTATATACTCATCCAGATTTTGTCTGGAAAGCTTTTTATCTCTTTTCATTTGTTCACTCTTGTATTTCTTTCAGATTTCAGCTTTTGTTATCTTTTTTTTTTTTTTTTTGATGGAGTCTCACTCTGTCATCCAGGCTGGACTGCAGTGGTGCAATCTCCACTCACTGCAACCTTCATCTCCCGGGTTCAAGATTCTCCTGCCTCAGCCTCTCGAGTAGCTGGGATTACAAGCAAGCGCCACCACGCCTGGCTAATTTTGTATTTTTAGTAGAGATGGGGTTTCACCATGTTGGCCAGGCTCATCTTGAACTCCTGACCTCAGGTGATCCGCCGGCCTAAGCCTCCCAAAGTGCTGGGATTACAAGCATGAGCCACTGCGCCAGGCCAGCTTTTGTTATCTTAACAAAGAAAGGTCTCTGGACAATATTCTTCCCTAAGATAATTAAGTTAGAGTCTCTTGTATTTTCAAAGTGAAGGAACCCCAATGGAATTTAATATTTCTTATGTCACAGAAATTAATTAACTAATCCCTGTGATATATAGCTCGTGTGTTTTCCTAGTAGACAATAAGCCTTATAGGAACATACACATTCTGCTTTCAGTTTTACCTCCAAAACTACTCATCTATCTTTTTATATTAATAAAACTAGTTAAAGAGAAATTTAAAAGGTGTTTAATTCATAAGGAGAGCTAAACCTTGGCTAGATCCATCCAAAAGAATAAAAACTCAAACATGCACAGGCATGCAGGCACATACACGTTACCTTCACAGAAGTCATTGTTATTTCATGGTTTGGTCTGAATAATGTAACAAAACAAAAAAATATACACATTCATACCCCAGGTATTTTCTACTGTGGTATTTAACTGACTTCACCTATAGATAGGAATGTTCTACTAAGGTTTCTCCACACTAAAGCTGGACATATAGTTGATGGTAGTGATAAAGGAAACACTGTTAGTCTTGGAATTGCAGTTAAGGATATTAAGACATTTTGCTTTATAGAAGTAAAAAGAAAGATTTTAAAATGATCAAATGTTAGAAATTTCACTTGGACCTGGGGATACAGAATAAAGTGACTCCTTTACATATCTATAAGGACCTCAGATAATCAAAAATCATCCAGAAATCAGACCGTAGTAGAAAAATTATCTAGTTTCTAAGGTTTCACTACCTATGGCTATGAAAGATTAATCATAGTAACTAGTAGAATCCATTCTTTTGGGCACTTAATTTTGCTCTTTAGTAGGTCCCATTTAGGGCCTCAATAAATTGTTTCACTGATTTCAAATGCTGAGTCAGCAAGATGTAGTAATGAATGGTTAGCTAAAGTTTATACAAGAGTATCTCTTCTGCCCTTAGCTTTCAATAATCTGATTTCTCTTCCTATTTCCTATTATTGTTGCTGCCATTTAGAAAGCACCCTACATCCCTCCATATTGGCCAAGCAAAAAAAAATACAAAGTCTATCGGAGAACAAAAGATTATTGGGCCAGAAACTAACCGTATAATATGTAGGAAAAATCATATTCTTGAAAAGCTGAGGAAAAAATGACAACAAAGTTGGCTTAAGAATAGTTAACAGAATATCTTTGATATGTTTCTATTTTAATTAAAGATATAGATTGCTGGCTTCTTTCATTAATCCTGGAGAAAACAAATAGGGGAGGTGGAGAAAGATGGCCAAATAAAAGACAACACCATTTGTCCCCCTATCCAGGAACATAAATTTTAACAACTGACTACACACAAATGTACCATCACAAGAATTAAAAATTAGGTGAGCAATCACAGTACCTGGTTTTATCTTCATATCACAGAAAGAGACATTGAAGTGTCAATAATATTCCTCTCCCATCCCCTGGCAGGGGCCATGTGGCACAGAGAATCTGTGCACTTGGGAGAGAGAAAGCCAAGTGACTATTAGGCTTGGCATTGAATTCAGTGCTGCCCTGTCACAGCAGAAAGCAGAAGCAGGCTGTGTCTGCCCGAAGAGGGAGCTTTGAAACAGCCCTTAGCCAGAGGGGAATCGCCCGTCCCAGTAGTTGGAGCTTGAGTTCTGGCGAGCCTTGCCACCATGGGCTAGAGCACTCTGTGGCCCTAGGTGAACTTCATGGCCACAAGGAATGTAATTCCTAGGCAAGTTGTATGGCTGATCTGGGGCTGAGACCCAGTGGAATGAGAGGAATCATTACCTACTAAGACACCAGCCAGGACAGCTAAGGGAGCACTTACTCCACACTTCCCCATACCCCAGCAGCAGCCACGTGGCACAGAGAAATCTGTGAGCTTGGGAGAGGGAGAACACAGCAACTGGAGGCTTTCCATTGAAGTCAATGCTGCCCTGTAACAGCAGAGACCTGAAAGGATTCATCACCTGCAGACTGAAGAGGCCCTGGGCTCTGAATAACCAAGAGTTATACCCAGTTAATTCACTGTGGGCTTGGACTCTGAGATGTTCTGGCTTCAGATGTGACCCAGCACATTCACAGCTGTGGTGGCTACAATAAAAGATCCCTTCTGTTTGAGAAAAGCAGAGAAAAAATATAAGGGGATTCTGTTTAACATCTTAGGCACCAGTTCAACTGCTGTGGAATAGAGCACCAAACATGTTCTTGGGATCCCTAAGTCCAAGCCTAGGTTCTTGGTCAGCATTTCTGGGCCTGCCCTGGGCCAGATGGGAGCCCACTATCCTGAAGGGCGAGTCCGAGGCGTGGCAGCATTTATCACAAACTGACTAAAGAGCCCTTGGGCTTTAAGCAAACATCAGTACTAGCTTGGCAAAAACCATATGGATCAGTGGTGGTAGTGGGCACAGGGAGAGGCTCCTCTGACTGTGGAAAGGGTAGGGAAGAGTGGAACAAATTTTGTCTTATGGTTTAAGTGCCAGCTTAGACAAAGTAGAATACCAGATAAATTTCTAAGGTTTTTGAATTCAATTTCTGGCTCTCAGACAGCATCTCTGAACTCATCTGGGGCCTGTGGGGATTTGCCACCCTGAAGGGAGGGACACTAATCTGGCTGGCTTTACCACATGTTAATTGTAGAGCCCTGTAGCCTCCAGTAAACTTAAGTGGTAGCTAGGTAGTGGTAACAGCAGACCCTGAGAGAGACCCAGTGCTGTGCTGGTTTCAGGTCTAAACCAATGTAGTCCCACTGGTGGTGGTCATAGGAATGCTTGTGTCCTCTCACCCCCAGTTCCAAAAGGCTCAGCACAGAGAGAAAGACCTTGTTTTGTGGAGAGAAAGTGAAGGTAAAAGACAAGAGTTTATGCCTGGTAATCCAGGTAATTCTTACAAAACTCATGCAAATCCACAAAGGCAGTACCTCCACAAGTCTACAAGAGCCACAGCATTACTGGGTTTGGGGCCCAAGTCCCTTCAAATACCTGGAAAGCCTTCCCAAGAAGGATGGGCACAAACAAGCGCAGGCTGTGAAGACCTCAAAAAATGCCTAACTGTTAATTGCTCAGGCAACAGTGAATATCTACAAGCATCAAGATCACCCAAGAAAAAATGACCTCACCAAATGAACTAAATAAGGTGATATGGTTTGGCTGTGTCCCCACCCAAATCTCACCATAATTGTAGTTCCCAGAATTCTCACATGTTGTGGGAGGAACCCGGTGGGAGTTAACTGAATCATGGGGGCAATTTCCCCCATACTGTTCTTGTGGTAGTGAATAAGTCTCATGAGATATGATGGTTTATAAGGGGAAACTCCTTTCTCTTGTCTCTCATCATCTCTTGTTTGCCACCATGTAAGACAAGGCTTTTGCCTTCCACCATAATTGTGAGGCCTCCCCAGCCACATGGAACTGTGCATCTATTAAACCTCTTTTTCTTTATAAATTACCCAGTCTCAGGTATGTCCTTATCAGCAGCATGAGAACAGACATTAGGCACCAGGGATCAATTCTAGAGGAACAGAGATATGTGACATTTCAGACAGATAATTAAAAATAGCTGTGTTGAAGAAACTAAAAAAAAATAAAAATTCAAGATAACAGAGAAAGTGAATTTGGAATTCTATCAGATAAATTTAACAAAGAGATTGAAATTATTAAAAAGAATCAAGCAGAAAGTCCAGAGTTGCCAAATGCAATTAACATACTGAAGAATTCATCAGTCTCTTAATAGCAGAATTTATCAAGCAGAAGAAAGAATTATTGAGCTTGAAGACAGGCTATTTGAAGATACACAGTCAAAGAAGAAAAAAGAAAAAAAATAAAAAAGAATTAAGCATGTCTATCATACCTAGAAAGTAGCCTCAAAAGGCCAAATCTAAGAGTTATTGGCTTTAAAAAGGAGGTAGAGAAAGATAAAGGGGTTTATCTTTAAGTTTATTCACAGGAATAGTAAGAGAACTTTCCAAACTTAGAGGAAGACATTAATATTTAAGTACAAGAAGGTTATGAAACACCAAGCAGATTTAACCCCAAGAAGACTACCTCTAGGCATTTAATAATCAAACTTTTAAAGGTCAA
Organism: Homo sapiens; assembly: GCF_000001405.40. Lineage (NCBI taxonomy): Eukaryota > Metazoa > Chordata > Mammalia > Primates > Hominidae > Homo > Homo sapiens. The sequence continues at coordinate 132,869,304 of NC_000004.12, forward strand.
AGATAAAGAAGAAATCCTAGGCCGGGCACGGTGGCTCACGCCTGTAATCCCAGCACTTTGGGAGGCCGAGGCGGGTGGATCATGAGGTCAGGAGATCGAGACCATCCTGGCTAACAAGGTGAAACCCCGTCTCTACTAAAAATACAAAAAATTAGCCGGGCGCGGTGGCGGGCGCCTGTAGTCCCAGCTACTGGGGAGGCTGAGGCAGGAGAATGGCGTGAACCCGGGAAGCGGAGCTTGCAGTGAGCCGAGATTGCACCACTGCAGTCCGCAGTCCGGCCTGGGCGACAGAGCGAGACTCCGTCTCAAAAAAAAAAAAAAAAAAAAAAAAAAAAAAGAAGAAGAAATCCTAAAAGCAGCAAGAGAAAATAAACAAATAACATACAATGGAGTGCTAATACATCTGGCAGACAACTTTTCAGTGGAAACCATACAGACCAGGAGAGAGTGGAATGACCTATTTAAAGTGCTGAAGGAAAATAACTTTTACCCTAGAATAGTATATCTGGCAAAAATATCCTTTAAGCATCAAGGAGAAACAAAGACTTTCCCAGACAAACAAAAGCTAAGAGATTTCATCAACACCAGACCTGTTCTACAGGAAATGATAAAGGGAATTCTTCAATCTGAGGAAGAAAAGGATGTTAATGAGGAATAAATAATCATTTGAAGGTACAAACTCACAGTAAAGCACACAGAAAAATACAGAATATTATAAAACTGGAACTGTGGTGTGTAAACAACTATTATCCCAAGTAGAAAGACTAAACAAAAAAAAATCAAAAATAATAACTACAAAAACTTTCAAGACATCAACAATACAATGAGACAAAAGAAAAAAAGTTAAAAAGAGAATGAACAAAGTTAATATAGAGGTTTTATTAGTTTTCATTTTGCTTGTTTATGTAATCAACGTTAAGTTGTCATCAGTTTAAAATAATGGGTTACAGGACTTTTTACATGAGGCAGAGCGAGATGGTGAAACAGAAAGCTGCATCGATCATCCCTCCTGCAAGGACAAGTTAACTATGTACGCAGCAAAAAGCACCTTCATAAAAACCAAAAATCAGGTGAGTACTCACAGTATCTGGTTTAAACTTCATATCACTGAAAGACCCACTGAAGAGATATTTTTTCTGAAGTCCGGAATTGCTGACACCATCCCTCCCCTTCTCCCAGCAGTGGTGGTGTGGTGTGGAGAGCCTCTGTGGGTGCTACAGGAGGGAGAACACAACAATTGTGAGGCATAAAACTTGGTGCTGTCCTGTTAGAGCAGAAAGGAAAACCAGACCAAACTCAGCTGATGTCCACTCAAGGAGGAGACTTTTAAACCAGCCCTAGCCGGGAGGTAATTGCCAGACTCAGAGATCTGAACTTGAGCTTGTAAACTTTGCCACTGAGGGACAGAGCACTCTGTGCCTCCAAGTAAATTTGAAAGGCAAAGTCTAGGCTATAAGGACTACAACACTTAGGTGAGTCCTAGTGCTGAACTAAGCCCAGAGAAAGTGGAGTGGGGGCATACGTGACATACTGAGACAACAGCTGGGGCAACAAAGGGAGTGCTGGTATCATTCCTCCTCTAACCCCAGGCTGCACAGCTTGAGGCTCCAAAAGGGACCGCTTCCTCCTGCTTCAGGTAAAAAGAGGAAAGAGTATGGAGGACTTTGTTTTACATCTAGGACACCAGCTCAGCCATAGCAGGATAGGGCATTAGTTAGAGTTGTGAGGCTCCCATTCCAGGCCCTGGCACCAAGATGACATTTATATAAACACTCTGGGCCAAAAGGGAGCCTGCTGCCTTGAAGGAAAGGACTCAGTCTTGGCAGCATTCATCACCTGCTAACTGAAGAGTTCTTTGGCCCTGAACAACCAGCAGCAATAGCCAGGTACTACATCAATGGCATTGGTTGAGCCTGTGGGACTTACTGGCTTCAGGTAAGACTCAAGACATTACCAGATGTGATGGCTACAAAGCAAAACTCATTCTGTTTGAGAAAAGCAGAGGGAAAAGTAAATAGGACTCTGTCTTGCTCCTTAGATACCAGCACAGCCACAAGGAGGTAGGGAACCAAGAAGGCTTTTAGGATTCCTGATTCTAGGACTTGCCTCTTGGACAGCATTTCTGGACCTGCCTTGGGCCAGAGGGGAGTCCACTGCCTTGAAGGATGAATCCTGGGACAGGCAGCATTCACAGCAAGCTGACTCAAGAGACCGTAGGCCTTAGGGAAACATTGGTGGTAGTCTGGCAGTACTCCTCATGGCCTGGAATGGCAGTGGCTATGGGGCAAGGCTCCCCTGCCTTTGGAAAGGGGAGGGAAGAGTGGGAAAGGCTGAATTTTGTAGTTTGACTGCCAGCTAAGCTACAATACAATAGAACAGCAGGTAGATGTCTAAGATTTTTGACTTCTCAGCCCCTGAGTCCAGGATGGCACTTCTAGACCAACCTGAGGGCTGGGGGACCTTGCAACCCTGAAGGAAAGGACACAGGACTGGCTGGTTTTGCCACTTGCTGAATGTAGAGCCCCAGGGCCTTCAGTGAATATACACAGTACCAAGGCAGTGGTTACAGCAGGTCTTGGGTAAGACCCAGTGCTGTGCTGGCTTCAGATCTGACCCAGTGCAGTCAGAGTAGTGGTGGTCACAGGGGTGCTTATGTCACTCCACCACCATCTTAAGGTGGCTCCAAAAAGAGGGAGAAACTCTGTATGTTTGGGAGACAGTAAGGGAAAATTAAGAGTCTGCCTGGTAATCCAGAGAATTCTCCTGGATCTGGTCCCAGACCACCAATGTTGTACCTCTAAGATTCTGCAATAACCACAGTGTTACTGGGCTTGGGGCGTCCCCTAAAGCAAATACAGCTTACATCACAGCAGTCAAGTTTTTTCAAATATCTGGAAATCCTTCCCAAGAAAAATAGCTACAAAAAAGCACAGACAATGAAGACTACAATAAATACCTAACCCCTCAATGCTCAGACATGAAAGAACATATACTAACAACAACACCATCCAGCAAAACATGACCTCACTAAATGAAATAATTAAGGCACCAGGAACCAATCCTGAAGAAACAGACATATGTGACACCTCAGACAGAGAATTCAAAATAGCCATATTGAGGCAACTCAAAGAAATTCAAGATAACAAAAGGAAGGGATTCAGCATTCTATCAGATAAATTTAACAAGGAGACTGAAATTACTAAAACGAATCAAGCAAAAATTCTGGAGCTGAAAAATGCAACTGGCATACTGAAAAATGCATCAGAATCTTTTAATATAAGACTGGATCAAGAAGAAGAAAAAATAATGAGCTTGAAGACAAGCCATTTGAAAATACACAGTCAAAGGAGACAAAAGAAAAAAGAATTTTAAAAAGTGAGGCATACTTTGGGAGGCCAAGGCGGGTGGATCACCTGAGGTTGGGAGCTTGAGACCAGCCTGGTCAACATGGTGAAACCCTGTCTCTACTAAAAATTAAAAAAAAAAAAAGAAAGAAAAAATTAGCTGGGTGTGGTAGCATGTGCCTGTAGTCCCAGATACTCAGGAGGCTGAGGCACAACAATAACTTGAACCCAGGAGGCAGAGGTTGCAGTGAGCCTAGATCACATAACTGCACTCTAGCCTGGATGACAAAGTAAGACTGTCTCAAGAAAAAAAAAAGAGGCTTAACTACAGAAACCAGAAAATAGTTTGAAAAAGGCAAATCTAAAAGTGATTTGCCTTAAATAGGAGGTAGAAAAAGAGATAGAAGTACTATGTTTACTCAAAAAAATAATAACAGAGAACTACCCAACCTAATGAAAGACATCAATATTCAAATGCCAGAAGATTGCAGAACACCAAGCAGATTTAACACAAAGAAGACTACCTCAAGGCATTTAATAATTAAATTCCCAAAGTTCAAGAATAAAGAAACAATTCTAAAAGCAGCAAGAGAAAAGAAACAAGTAACATGCAATGGAACACCAATACATCTGGCAGCAGACTTTTCAGTGGAAACCATACAGAGAAGAAAAGTGTTGAAAGAAATAACTTTTACTCTAGAGTAGTATATCTGGCGAAAATGAACTTCAAACATGAAAGAGAAATAAAGACTTTCTCAAACAAAAGCTGAGGGATTTCACTAATGACAGGCCTGTCTGAAAAGAAATGTTAAAAAGAGAACTTCAATCAGAAAGAAAAGGACATTAGTGAGCAATAAATAATCATCTGAAGATACAAAACTCACTGGTAATAGTAAGTACACAGAAAAACACAGAATATTATACCACAGTAACTGTGGTATATAAACTACTATTATCCCAGGTAGATAGACAACTATGAACTAATCAAAAATAATAAACACAATGATGTTTCAAGACATAGTAGTGCAAAAAGATACAAATAGAAACAACAAAAAAGTTAAAATGTGGGGGAATAAAGTTAAGGTGTAGAGTTTTGTTAGTTTTATTTTTGCATGCTTGTGTATTTATGCAAGGAGTATTAAGCTGTTATCAGGTTAAAATAATGGATTGTAATATAGTACTGGCCAGCCTCATGGTAACCTCAAACCAAAAAACATACAATAGAAACACAAAAAAATTAAAAGCAAGAAATTAAATCATACCACAGAAGAAAATCACCTTCACTGAAAGAGGACAGGGAAAAAAATCTTAAATATCATATGGAACCACAGATTATCCAGAATAGCCAAAGCAAAAAAAAAAAAAAAAAAAACTAAACAAAAATAACAAAGCTGGAGGAATCACATTACCTGACTTCAAATTATACTGTAGGGTTGTAATAACCCAAACAGCATGGCACTGCATAAAAACAGACACACAGATCAATGGAACTGAATAGAGAATCCAGAAACAAATCCATACACCTAAAGTGAACTCATCTTTTACAAAGGTTCCAAGAACAAACACTAGAAAAAAGGCAGTGTCTTCCATAAGTGGTTCTGGAAAAACTGCATATCAATATGTGATAGAATGAAACTAAAGCCCTCTCTCTCACCATATGCAAAAATCACATGAAAATAGATTAAAGATTTAAACCTGATTTAAGACCACAAACTATGCCACTACTGTAAATAGACATTGGGGAAAATCTCCAGGACGTTGGTCTAGGTATTTCTTGAGCAATACCTGACAAGCGCAGACAATCAAAGCAAAAATAGAGAAAGGGGATCACATCAGGTTAAAAAGCTTCTGCACAGCAAAGGGTGCAATAAAAAAATGAAGAGACAAACCACAGAATCAGAGAAAATATTTGCAAACTACCCCTCTGACAAGGGATCAATAACCAGCATATATAAGTAGTTCAAACTACTCTATGGGAAAAAGTCTAATAATTATATTAAAAATGTGCAAAAGGTCAGGCGCAGTGGCTTACACCTGTAATCCGAGAGGGTGCCACTGCACTCCAGCCTGGGTAATGGCAGGAGACTCTGTCAAAAAAAAAAAAAAAAGTGCAAAAGATTTGAATAGACATGCCTCAGTAGAAGACATAGAAATGGCAAACAAGCACATGAAAAGGTGCTCAACTTTACTGATTACTGGAGAAATGCAAATCAAAACTACAATGAAATATAATCTCACCCCAGTTAAAATGACTTTTATCCAAAAGACAGGCAATAAAACATACTAGTGAGGATGTGGAGAAAAGGGAACACTTTTACAGTGTTGGTGGAAATGTCAATTAGCACCACCTCTATAGAAAACTGTTCAGAAGTTCCCTAAAAAAATGAAAAATTGAACTACTATGTGATCCAGGAATTTCATTGCTGGGTATCTACTCAAAAGAAAGGAAATCACTATATAGAAGAGGTATCTGTACTCCTATATTTGTTGCAGCACTGTTTATAATAGCTAAGATTTGGAAGCAACCTAAGTGTCCATCAAAAGTTGAATAAATTTAAGAAACATAGTACATATACACAATGGAGTACAATTCAGCCATAAAAAAGAGTGAAATCCAGTCATTTGCCACAACATGGATAGAACTGGAGATCATTATGTTAAGTGAAATAAACCAGGTATAAAAAGACAAATGTCACATGTCCTCACTTATTTGTGGGATCTAAAAATTAAACCAATTGAACTGATAGATATAGACAGTAGAAAGATGGTTACTAGAGGCTTGGAAAGGTAGTGGGGGATTGATGGGGGGGGAAGATGGGGATAGTTAATGGATACAAATAATATTAATAGTTTGTAAGAATAAGATCTATTATTTGATAGCATAAAAGGGTGACTGGAGTAAAAAATAATTATACATTGTTAAATAGTGTAATTGAATTATTTGTAACTTAAAGGACAAATGCTTGTGGAAATGAATACCCCATTCTCCGTGATGTGCTTATTTTACATTGCACGCCTGTATCAAAACATCTCATGTACTCCATAAGTATATACACCTACTATGACCCATAAAATTTTAAAACGTTTTTAAAAATTTAAAAAGACTTTGTATGTATTAATTATAGCCAATAAGAGTTACCCAGTTGTATTGTTCTCTCTTTACAGAAAATAACCTCTTGCTTTTTAAAAATAAGTAAAATAATGACTTATAATATAGTATTTCCAAGCTTCAGGATAACCTCAAATTGAAAACATACAACAAATACACAAAACATAAAAAGCACAGAATTAAATCATATCACCAGAGAAAATCACCTTAACTAAAAGGAAGACAAGAAGGAAGAAGAAGGATAAGACTACAAAACCACTGGAAAACAGAACAAAACAGCAGGAATAAGTCCCTACTTATCAATAATAACATGAAATTGACATGAAGGAAGCTCTCCAATCAAAACACATTGAGTTGCTGAAAGAATTTTTTAAAAAAATGCAAAATCCCAATGATCTGTTGCCTACAAGCAACATACATCACCTATAAATATACACATATACTGAAAATAAGGGGGTGGAAAAAAATGTTCCATGTTGATGGAAACCAAAAAAGAACAGAAGTCACTATATTTCTATCAGAAAAAAATAGATTTCCTGACAAAAACTATAAAAAGAGACAAAGAAAATTGTTATGTAATGATAAGGGTGTCAATTCAGCAAGAAGATATAACAATTTTAAATATATATGCACCCAACACTGGAGCACCCAGATATATAAAGGAAATATTATTAGAGCTGAAAAGAAAGATAGACCTTAATAAAATAATAGCTGCAGATTTCAACTCCCACTTTCAATATTAGACAGAACTTCCAGACAAAAAATTAACAAAGAAGTATCAGATTTAGTCTACATTATAGACCAAATGGATCTAATAGATATTTACAGAACATTTCATCCAAGAGCTGAAAAATACACATTCTTTTCCTCAGCACATGGATTATTTTCAAAGATAGACCATATGATAACAAGTCTTAAAACATTCAAAAAATTGAAATAATATCAAGCATCTTCTTTGATCACAATGGAATAAAACTAGAAAAATAACAAGAGGAACTTCGGAAACTATACAAACACATGGAAATTAAACAATATGCTCCTGAATGACCAGTTTGTCCATGAAGAAACTAAGAAAAAATTGAAAAATTTCTTGAAACAAATGATAATGTAAGTACAACATACTAAAACCTATGGAATATGTGAAAGCAGTACTAAGAGGAAAATTATAGCCATAAGTGCCTACATCAAAAAAGAAGAAAAACTTTAAATAAATAACTTGACAGTGCATCTAAAATAACTAAAAGAGCAAAAGCAAACCACAGTTAAAACTACTGGAAGATAAATAATTATAAAGGTCTGAGCAGAAATAAATGAATTTGAAGTGAAGAAAAGAATCCAAAAAATCAGTGTAGCAAAAAAGTTGATTTTTCTGAAAACATAAATAAAATTGACAAAATTTTAGCCAGACTAACAAAAAGAGAGAGAGAGAGAGAGACTGAAGATCCAAATAAATACAATCACAGATGAAAAAGAAGACATTACAGTTGATACTGCAGAAATTCAAAGGATCATTAGTGGCTACTATGAGCAATTTTATGCCAACAAATTGGAAAATCTAGAGGAAATGTATACATTCCTAAAACCTAAAACCTACCAAGATTAAATCATGAAGAAATCCAAAACCTGAACCAACCAATAATAAGTAACGAGATCAAAGCTCTAATAAAAAGTCTCCCTCTAAAGAAAAACCTGAGACCCAATGGCTTTCCTGCTGAATTCTACCAAACATTTAAAAAAGTTACTACCAACCATACTCCAATATCCTGAAAAATAGAGGAGGGGGGAATATTTTCAAACTCATTCTACAAGGCTAATATTACCTTCATATCAAAACCAAACAAAGACACATCAAAAAGAGAAAACTACACGCCAATATCTCTGATAAATATTAATGTAAAAAAATACTAGCAAACTGTATTCAACAACACTTTAAAAGATCATTTGTCATGACCAAGTGAGATTTATTGCTGGGATGTAAGGAAGGTTCAACATATGCAAATCAAGCAATGTGATACATTATATAAAGACAGTGAAGGACAAAAATACTTTTAAATTATTTATTATTTATTTATTTAATTCTATTTTTTATTTCAATATTTTTTGGGGGGACAGGTGATGTTTGGCTACATGGATAAGTTCTTTAATGGTGATTTCTGAGATTTTGGTGCACCCATCACCCGACCAGTGTACACTGTACCAAATGTGAAGTCTTTTATTCCTCACCTCACTTCCACACTTACACCTAGTTCCCAAAGTCCATTGTGTCATTCTTATGCCTTTGCATCCTCATAGTTTATTACCACTTATGACTGAGACTATATGATGTTTGGTTTTCCATTCCCAAGTTACTTCACTTAGAATAATGATTTTCAATGTCATCTGGGTTGCTGCAAATGCCATTAATTTGTTCCTTTTTCTATGGCTAAGTGGTATCCCATGGTATACATATACCACATTTTCTTTATCCACTCATTGATTGATGAGCATTTGGACCGGTTCCATAGTTTTGCAATTGTGAATTGTGCTGCTATGAACATTCATGTGCAAGTGCCCTTTTCATATAGTGACTTCTTTTCCTCTGTGTAGATACCCAGTAGTGGGATTGCTGAATCAAATGGTAATAGATCGCCCGATCATTAAAATGAATATATGATCATTTTGAATGATGCTGAAAAAGCATTTGATAAAATTCAACATTCCTTCATAAAAACACCCTCAAAAAACTGGGTTTGGAAGCAACATACCTCAACATAATAAATAAAAGCCAAACATGACAGACCCATAGCTAATATCATACTGAATGGGGAAAAACTGAAATCCTTTCTTCTAAGATCTGGAACATGACAAGGATGCCCACTTTCTCCATTGTTATTCAATATAGTACAGGAATTCCTAGCTAGAGCAATCAAACAAGAGGGAAAAAAGTAAAGGGCATCCCAATTGAAATGGAAGAAGATAAATTATCCTTATTTGCAGATGATATGAGCTTATATTTGGGGAAATGTAAAGACTCCCCCTAAAAACTGCTAGAACTGATAAATTCAATAAAGTAGTAGAATAGAATATCAACATACAAAAATTAGTAGCATTTCTATATGACAAGAGTGAACAATCTGAAAAAAAATCAAAAAAGTAATGTCATTTACAATAGACAAAAATAAAATTAAATACTTAGGAATTAAATGCTTAGAGAACACAAAAATGTTCATGGATTGAAATAATCATATTGTTAAAATGTCTGTACTACCCAAAGAAATCCACAGATTCAACACAATACTTACCAAAATACTGATGACATTCTCCACAGAAATAAGAAAAAAGTCCTAAAATTTATATGGAAATACCGAAGACCCAGAATAGCAAAGCTCTGCTGGCAAAAAAGAAGAAACCTGGAGTCAAATTTGAAATTTCAAAAAAGAAATTACCTGACTTCGAATTATACTACAGAGTTATAGTAACCAAACAGCATGGTACTGGCATAAAAACAGACACAGAGACCAATGGGGCAGAATAGAGAGCTGAGAAACAAATCCATACACCTACATTGAACTCTTTTTAAACAAAGGTGCCAGGAACATACACTGAAGAAAAGACAGTCTCTTGAGTAAATGTTGCTTGAAAACTTGGTAGCCATATGTAGAAGAATAAAACTTGACCCCTATCTCCCATTATTTATAAAAATTAAATGAAAATGGATTACAGACTTAAATCCAAGACCTCAAGCTATGAAACTACTACAAGAAAACATTGGGAAACTCTCCAGGACATTGTTCTGGGGAAAAATTTCTTGAATAATACCCATAAACACAGGCAACCAAAGCAAAAATGGAAAAAGGAGATCACATAAAGTTAAAAAGCTTCTTCACAGCAAAGGAAGTAATTAATAAAGTTAAGAGACAACCCACAGAATGGCAGAAAATATTTGCAAACTGTCCATCTGACAAGGGATTAATAACCAGAACATATAAGGAGCTCAAGCAACTCTATAGGAGAAAATCTAATAATCTTTTTAAAAAAGATTTGAATAGACATTTCTCAAAAGAAGACATATAAATGGCAAACAGACATATGTGAAGGTTCTCAATATCATTGGCATCAGAGAAATGCCAATCAAAACTACAAGAAGGTATCTCATTCCAGTTAAAAATTTTGTTTAATCCAAAAAATAGGCAATAACAAATGTGGGCAAGGGTGTGGGGAAAAAAGGAATCTTTGCACACTGTTGGTTGGAATGTAAATTAATACAACTACTATGGAGAACAGTTTGGAGCTTCCTCAAAAGAACTGGAAATAAAGCTACCATACAATCCACAGTCCCACTGCTGGGTATATACCCTAAAGAAAATCTGTATATAGAAGAGATGCCTGGACTCCTATATTTGTTGCTGCACTGTTCACAATAGCCAAGATTTGGAAGCAACCTAAACATCCATCAACAGACGATTGGATTAAGAACATGTAATACATATATGCAATGAAATACTATATAGTCATAAAAAATGTGATCGTGTCATTTGCAACAGCATGGATAAAACTGGAGATCATTATGTTAGGTAAAATTAGATGTAGAAAGACAAACTTTGAATGTTCTTACTTATTTGTGGTGCCAAAAATCAAAATAATTGAACTCATGGAGATCAAGAGTAGAAAGATGGTTATCACAGGCTGGGAAGGGTAATGAGGGTGTGAAGGGAAAGTGGAGATGGTTAATGGGTACAAATATTATATATATACTTAGAAAGGATAAATAAGACCTAGTGTTTGAACATGGTGACTATAGTCAACAGTAATTTAATTGTATATTTAAAAATTACTAAAAGAGTATAATTGGACTGTAACTCAAAGGATAAATGCTTGAGAAGACAGATACCCTATTTTCCATCATATGATTATTGTTTATTGCATGTCTATATAAAAACATCACATGTAGGCTGGGCGCGGTGGCTCACGCCTGTAATCCCAGCACTTTGGGAGGCCAATGCGGGTGGATCATGAGGTCAGGAGATCGAGACCATCCTGGTTAACACAGTGAAACCCCATCTCTACTAAGAAAACAGAAAAATTAGCTGGGCATGGTGGCAGGCACCTGTAGTCCCAACTACTCAGGAGGCTGAGGCAGGAGAATGGCATGAACCCAGGAGGTGGAGCTTGCAGTGAGCCAAGATCGTGCCACTGCATTCCAGCCTGGGTGACAGAGCAAGACTCCATCTCAAAACAGAAACAAAAACAAAAATCATCTCATGTACCGCACAAATATATACACCTACTATATACCCACACAATTTTTAAAAAATAGAATAAATAAATATTTTTATAGAGAACATAGAGCTTTAAGTGCAGTGGACCAGAAATCCAGAGTTCCTAGAAAAAAAGATGCATTGACTATGCATTGAAATCTCTGAAACAAATACATGAAGAGAATTAAAAAATAGTACAAAGGAGTTTATTTTTTAAAAATTTAAAAAATGCCCCCTTCCAACCATCCTTAAACACTTTCCCATCCACAATACTTCACCAGAGGCAGGACTGTATATGTACACATACATGTTTATGTGCGTGTATGTGTGTATTTATGAGTATGTGTGTATAAGTGTGTATTGTCATTTAGAGAACCTAGGTGAAGAGTACACATAAAATAACACATAAAATAACATTTCTTACTGCTGTATTTTTTTCTTTTAGGTTTACATTCACACTGCTATATAATATACTCATTCCAAACATCTCTTGATTTAATTTTGAAACCTGTTACTCTACTTTTTGTTGTTGTTTTTGTTGTTGTAGGTGCAGAAGCTTCCATATTCCGTATGTTTTTCAGAGGGTATATAGAATAACAGTAAGAAATAAGAGGGAAGTGTTGGAAATACCATATTCAGCTATTGCTAGAGAAATTATTCAAAATGATCCTCATACCAACTTAACTAAGGTTGATAACAAATGAAACATTAGTAATAGCTGCAGAACATTAGGCAAATAACCTGCATGTTTGGAGCCTCATGATTTTTTTTAATTTAATAATGAAGGTTTTAATGTCTGATGGCTCTAACAGAGGGTTTTTATATCAGATGGGTGTTCAAATACATGGATTTAAGTCCTTTCTAAATAACAATAAAAATGAATGCTAAGTAATTTAATGAGAAAAAGAATTAAGAAAAAATAATATTAACAATATTAATCTTCCCAAAGTGCCTGAGAATCTAAAGAAACATTCAGTTATTGAATAATGGAGAGAGGAAAGATTTAATATACTGTAATAAGAATGGGGAGGATGAAAGTAAGCTGAATATTTTCTGCTGTCTGATGCCTGTTCATGAGGCTACCTGTATCTCAGATGGGGATCAAGTACTTTCAAACTGATTCAAACATTTTAATTGTATCCAGCCTTCTGATAATTTTTACTTTGCCAGAGACTCACAATACTATAGGATGAAACTTAAGCAATGATTACAAGCATGAACTCACCATTAGACTAGATCTGGGTGAAAAATCCTAGATCTTCTCATCTTGTGTGAGTGACACTTACTTAAAGCTGAAAAAGGGGAAACCCCTTTTGGGTCCCCTCCCATTTTATGGGAGCTCTGTTTTCACTCTATTAAATCTTGCAACTGCACACTCTTCTGGTTCGTGTTTGTTACGGCTCAAGCTGAGCTTTCGCTCACTGTTCACCACTGCTGTTGCAACCCTTGCAGACCCGCCACTGACTTCTACCCCTCTGAATCTGGCAAGGTGTCCACTGTGCTCCTGATCCAGTGAGGTGCCTATTGCCGCTCCTGATCAGGCTAAAGGCTCACCATTGTTCCTGCATGGCTAAGTGTCCAGGTTCATCCTAATTGAGCTGAACACTAGTCGCTGGGTTCCACAGTTCTCTTCCATGAACCACGGCTTCTAATAGAGCTATAACACTCACCACATGGCCCAAGATTTAATTCCTTGGAATCTGTGAGGCCAAGAACCCCAGATCAGAGAACAAGAGGCTTACCACCACCTTGGAAGCAGTCTGCCACCATCTTGGGAGCTCTGGGAGCAAGGACCCCCCTGTAACATTTTGGTGACCATGAAGGGACCTCCAAAGTTTTAATACTGGACCACTTTCACTTGCTATTCTGTCCTATCCTTCCTTAGAACTGGAGGAAAATACTAGGCACCTGTCGGTCCGTTAAAAACAATTAGCGTGGACACCAGACTTAAGACTCAGGAGTGAGGCTGTCTGGGGAAGGGCTTTCTAACAATCCCCAACCCTTCTGGGTTGGGAGCATTGGTCTGCCTGGAACCAGCAGCTTCCACTTTCAATTTTCCTGGGGAAGTGGAGGACCGACTAGAGGAAGAAAGCTGTTGACCTGAACTCCTGACATTAGCTGGTTGAGATCATGGTGCAGCCAGAAGTCTCTACTCAACAGTCGCCCATGCATACATCCCTACCTTTCCTTCTGACCCATACCTCCTGGGTCCTGAACCACGACTTTCTTGAAAGTGTAGCCCCAAAATTCTCCTTACCTCTGAATCTACTTCTTCCAATCCCTGCCTCCTAGGTACTAATGGTTCAGACTTTCATTTTCTCTCCCAAGTATTAGAGCAAGTTGTATCTCCAAAGGGATCTAAGGAAGCGCTATGCTGTGTCCTTAGGCATCTAGGCTATGAACCCAAGGAGTCTTGTCCCTTGTGTCCCTCCCAATTTAGGCATACAGGTCTTGACATGGGCAGTTATGTGGGACCTGTTCCCCACCACCCTTGCCAGGGCCCCAAGTTTGTAAATGGCTAAGAGGATTGCTATCCCATTGTGTAAGATGCTCTCCTCCCCCAATTTTTACCCAGCTTACCCCTCTGCAATACAATCTCCAAGCCTTGGCTCTTTGGCCAGGGCCTTAGAACTGATGACCAAGTACTTTAACAACTGGAACTGGGTCTATGACAACGTAATAAATCAGGATGAAAGTGAATTGAGTAAGTCAAGGAGAGAAGAGACAGAGAGAGAGAGACAGAGAAACAAAAGAGAGAAAAGAGAGGGAGAGAGAGAAAAAGAGAGATAGAAGTAGTAAAGAAAAAACAGTGTGCTCTATTCCTTTAAAAGCCAGGGTAAATTTAAAACCTATAATTGATAACTGAAGGTCTTCTCCATTACCCTATAACACTCCAATACTACCTTGTTGTCAGTGTAAACAAGGGCATAACCTGAAAACACTGAGACCACTGACAACTAATAGCCTTCCTATCAACAATCCTTAACCTAGGAACCCACAGATGGCCCAAATGCATTCAATCTGTAGCGGCAACTGCTTTGCCAACAGAAGAAAGTAGAAAAGTAACTTTCAGAGGAAACCTCATTGTGAGCACACCTCACCAGTTCAGAATTATTCTAAGTCAAAAAAGCAAAAAGTTAGCTTACTAACTCGAAAATCTTAAAGTATGGGGCTATTCTGTTAGAAAAAGGTGATTTAACATTAACCACTGAAAATTCCCTTAACACAGAAGATTTCCTAACAGGGGATTTAAATCTTAATTACCTTACAAAGGTCTGACCAGACCTAGGAGGAACTCCCTTCAGGACAGGATGATACATGGCTCCTCCCAGGTGATTGAG
The DNA here is from genome assembly GCF_000001405.40 of Homo sapiens. Lineage (NCBI taxonomy): Eukaryota > Metazoa > Chordata > Mammalia > Primates > Hominidae > Homo > Homo sapiens. The sequence goes on from NC_000004.12 coordinate 132,884,335, forward strand.
AAAAAAACCACAATGGGTATTCAATAATTGATAGGGAGACTCTTGTGGAAGCAGAGTTAGGAAAATTGCCTAATAATTGGTCTGCTCAAATGTGCAAGCTGTTTGCACTCAGCCAAGCCTTAAAGTACTTACAGAATCAAAAAACACTATCTCAATCCTTACTCAAAAGGTTACCTACACCCTCTCTGAAATGAATTTGCATAATAACTGTTGTTTATGGGACTGCATCTTGATAGGGCAGCTGGCTTGTTAAGAAATACTCAGGAACCCAGCCCAGCTCTAGAACTCACTCCTGACTGAAAAGGCAATGTTGAGAATGCTGGTAAGGGACCACTAGAATCCAGCAACCCAGACCCCTTTCTTTGTGGTCAAGAAAAGAAGGAAAACAGGTGCAGGACTGCTGCATTGGTGAGCGTAACGAATCCAATAAGCAGAGGTCCATGGGTGGTTACGCACCTGGAAGGGAATAAGCATTAGGACCATAGAGGACGCTCTAGGACTAATGCTCATTGGAAATGTACTAGGGGTGCTGGCATCCCTGTGTTTTTTTTTCAGATGGGAAACATTCCCCCTAAGTCAAAAACACCCCTGAGATGTATTCTGGAGAATTCAGCTCAGAGTACATGTACCTTTTTCTCTCTCAGACTTGAAGCATATTAAAATAGACCTAGATAAATTCTCAGATAACCCTGATGGCTATATTGATGTTTTACAAGGGTTAGGACAATCCTTTGATCTGACATGGAGAGATATAATGTTACTGCTAGATCAGACACTAACCCCAAGTGAGAGAAGTGCCGCCATAACTGCAGCTCGAGAGTTTGGCAATCTCTGGTATCTCAGTCAGGTCAATGATAGGATGACAACAGAGAAAAGATAATGATTCCCCACAGGCCAGCAGGCAGTTCCCAGTGTAGACCCTCATTGGGACACAGAATCAGAACATGGAGATTAGTGTTGCAGACATTTGCTAACTTGTGTGCAAGAAGCACTAAGGAAAACTAGGAAGAAGCCTATGAATTATTCAGTGATGTCCACTATAACACAGGGAAAGGAAGAAAATCCTACTGCCTTTCTGGAGAGACTAAGAAGCATACCTCTCTGTCACCTGACTCTGTTGAAAGCCAACTAATCTTAAAGGATAAATTTATCACTCAGTCAGCTGCAGACATTAAAAAAAACTTGAAAAGTCCAACTTAGGCCTGGAGCAAAACTTAAAAACCCTATTAAAATTGGCAACCTTATTTTTTTTATACTAGAGATCAGGAGGAGCAGGTGGAACGGGACAAACAAGATAAGAAAAAGGCCACCGCTTTAGTCATGGCCCTCAGGAAAGCAGACTTTGGAGGCTCTGGAATATGGAAAGGCTGGGCAAATTGAATGCCTCATAGGACTTGCTTCCAGTGCGGTCTACAAGGACATTTTAAAAAAGATTGTCCAAATAGAAATAAGCCGCCCCCTCGTCCATGCCCCTTATGTCAAGGGAATCACTGGAAGGCCAACTGCCCCAGGGGATGAAGGTCCTCTGAGTCAGAAGCCACTAACCAGATGATCCAGCAGCAGAACTGAAGGTGCTGGGGGCAAGTCCCAGCCCATGCCATCACCCTCACAGAGCCCCAGGTATGCTTGACCATTGAAAGCCAGGAAGTTAACTGTCTCCTGGACACTGGCGCAGCCTTCTCAGTCTTACTTTCCTGTCCTGGACAACTGTCCTCCAGACCTGTCACTATCTGAGGGGTCCTAGGACAGCCAGTCACTAGATATTTCTCCCAGCCACTAAGTTGTGATGGGGAACTTTACTCTTTTCACATGCCTTTCTAATTATGCCTGAAAGCCCCACTACCTTGTTAGGGGGAGACATTCTAGCAAAACCAGGGGCCATTATACACCTGAACACAGGAGAAGGAACACCCGTTTGTTGTCCCCTGCTTGAGGAAGAAATTAATCCCAAAGTCTGGGCAACAGAAGGACAATATGGACGGACAAAGAATGCCCGTCCTGTTCAAGTTAAAGGATTCTGCTTCCTTTCCCTACCAAAGGCGGTACCCCCTTAGACTGGAGGCCCAACAAGGACTCCAAAAGATTGTTAAAGACCTAAAAGCCCAAGGCTTAGTAAAACCATTCAATAGCCCCTGCAATACTCCAATTTTAGGAGTACAGAAACCCAACGGACAGTGGAAGTTAGTACAAGATCTCAGGATTATCAATGAGGCCATTGTCCCTCTATACCCAGCTGTACCTAACCCTTATACTCTGCTTTCCCAAATACCAGAGGAAGCAGAGTGGTTTACAGTCCTGGACCTTAAGGATGCCTTTTTCTGTATCCCTGTACATCGTGAGTCTCAATTCTTGTTTGCCTTTGAAGATCCTTCAAACCCAACATCTCAACTCACCTGGACTGTTTTACCCCAAGGGTTCAGGAATAGCCCTCATCTATTTGGCCAGGCATTAGCCCAAGACTTGAGCCAGTTCTCATACCTGAATACTCTTGTCCTTCGGTACCTGGATGATTTACTTTTAGCTGCCCATTTAGAAACCTTGTGCCATCAAGCCACCCAAGTGCTCTTAAATTTCCTCGCCACCTGTGGCTACAAGATTTCCAAACCAAAGGCTCAGCTCTGCTCATAGCGGGTTAAATGCTTAGGGCTAAAATTATCCAAAGGCACCAGGGCCCTCAGTAAGGAATGTATCCAGCCTATACTGGCTTATCCTCATCCCAAAACCCTAAAGCAATTAAGAGGGTTCCTTGGCATAACAGGCTTCTGCCGAATATGGATTCCCAGGTATGGTGAAATAGCCAGGCCTTTATATACACTAATTAAGGAAACTCAGAAAGCCAATACCCATTTAGTAAGATGGACACCTGAAGGAGAAGTGGCTTTCCAGGCCATAAAGGAGGCCCTAACCCAAGCCCCAGTGTTAAGCTTGCCAACAGGGCAAGAGTTTTCTTTATATGTCACAGAAAAAAACAGGAATAGCTCTAGGAGTCCTTACACAGGTTCAAGGGACCAGCTTTCAACCCGTGGCACACCTGAGCAAGGAAATTGATGTGGTGGCAAAGGGTTGGCCTCATTGTTTATGGGTAGTGGCTGCAGTAGCAGTCTTAGTATCTGAAGCAGTTAAAATAATACAGGGAAGAGAACTTACTGTGTGGACATCTCATGATGTAAGTGGCACACTCACTGCTAAAGGAGACTTGTGGCTGTCAGACAACCTTTTGCTTAATCAGGCTCTATTATTTAAAAGGCCAGTGCTGCGACTGCACACTTGTGCAACTCTTAACCCAGCCACATTTCTTCCAAACAATAAAGAAAAGATAGAACATAACCATCAACAGGTGATTGTTCAAACCTACACCATTCAAGGGGACCTTCTAGAGGTTCCCTTGACTGATCCCGACCTCAACTTGTATACTAATGGAAGTTCCTTTGTAGAAAAAGGACTTCGAAAAGCGGGGTATGCAGTTTTTAGTAATAATGGAATATTTTAAAGTAATCCCCTCACTCCCGGAAATAGCACTCAGCTGGCAGAACTAATATCCCTCACTTGGGCACTAGAATTAGGAGAAGGAAAAAGGGTAAATATATATACAGACTCTAAGTATGCTTACCTAGTCCTCCATGCCCACACAGCAATATGGAAAGGGAATTGCTAATTTCTGAGGGAACACCTATCAAACATAAGGAAGCCATTAGGAGATTATTCTTGGCTGTATAGAAAACTAAAGAGGTAGCAGTCTTACACTGCTGGGGTCATCAGAAAGGAAAGGGAAATAGAGGGGAACCACCAAGTGGATAATGAAGCCAAAAGAGCCGCAAGGCGACCTCCATTAGAAATGCTTATAGAAGGACCCCTAGTATGTGGTAATCCCCTCCAGAAAACCAAGCCCCAGCACTCAGCAGAAGAAATAGAATGGGGAACATCACAAGGACATAGTTTCCTCCCCTCAGGATGGAATGCAGCTAACCAATGGAAATTACTTAAAACCCTTCACTAAACCTTTCACTCTCACTGCACCCCCTCCATGCAGCTATACTACCAGTAGCTCACCTTACCAAGAGCTTCTGTGGAGAATGCAGCTTCCCAGAAATATTGATGCCTCATCGTATAGGAGTTTTTCTAAAGGAAACCCCACTTTCACCACCCACACCCATATGCCCCTGCACTTCAGGCCATACATTTCAATTCCTGTATCTTTAACCTCCTTGTTAAGTTTGTCTCTTCCATAATTGAAGTTGTAAAACTACAAATAGTTCTTCAAATGGAGCCCCAGAAGCAGTCCATGACTAAGATCTACTGCGGACGCCTGGACCATCCTGCTGGCCCATGCTCTGATGTTAATGACATTGAAGGCACCCCTCCCAAGGAAATCTCAACTGCACAACCCCTACTATGCCCCAATTCAGCAGGAAGCATTTAGAGCAGTTGTTGGCCAACCTCCCCAACAGCACTTGGGTTTTCCTGTTAAGAAGGGGTACTGAGAGACAGGACTAGCTGGATTTCCTAGGCTGACTAAGAATTCCTAAGCATAGCTGGGAAAGGTGACCGCGCCCACCTTTAAACACGGGGCTTGTAACTCAGTTCACACCCGAACAATCAGGTAGTAAAGAGGGCTCACTAAAATACAAATTAGGCTAAAGCAGGAGGTAAAGAAATAGTCAAGTCATATATTGCCTGAGAGCACAGGGGGAGGGACAATTATCGGGATATAAATCCAGGCATTCGAGCAGGGAGCGGTGAACCCCTGTGGGTCCCCTCCCATTTTATGGGAGCTCTGTTTTCACTCTATTAAATCTTGCAACTGAAAAAAAAAAAGACTGAAAAAGTTAATTTGCTCATTGAATAAAGAGAATTATACTTTTTGCAAACAATATTTGGAATTATAAATAAAATATAAATAAGAAAGATTTGTGTTTGATGAATGAGAGCTAACAGAATACAAAGCAAATAATATCATGAATCAAAAATCTAATAATATGGTAAATGCCTATAAAAATCAAGGCAACTGTACAATATAGACAAAAGTGTTATAAACTTTTAGTTAAAAGAACATATTATAAGTTAGTATTACTGCTCAGGTTGTTTATGCAAAAGTCTTGAAAGATTTATAATCTTAGAATGAACATGAGGATTGGTGGTAGGAGTAATTTCACATTTGTCAATCAGCTATGAGTTACCTAATAGCCAAAGGGAATGAAAAATTGTCATTAAGGAGAGATAATGTCATAATTGTCAAAAATTAGAGACAATGAGATAGTTTATAGGTAAAAGGGAAGAAGGTTGTAGATTTTGTTTTGTTTTGTTTTTACTTTAGTCATCTGGGAGATTTGAGAGAACAAGTAGAAGTTACTAAACAGATTATTATAAAATAATTATATAAATAAACCCCTAAAATTAAAGTAAGTTTATAAAAGCGAAACAAAAAATAAATTGGGTTAAGGGTTTGAAAGCCACATTTCTATTTCTAATAAAATAATTACAATGATTTATAGTTTCACAAAAAATACTTTTTTTCTACAAGAAGTTTTTAGTGACATACAAATTAAAACTTGCTTATATTAACATAAGATTGCCACTCACTGTTTATTTCTCATATTAGTTCTTCTTCATCTTGTTGTTATTATAACACAAATTATACGACCTTAGTCTCACCAGGCTGTATATTCAAAATCTAGGTTATTTATCTATACTTTGTGTTTCAAGTTAAGATTTTGCTGAAATTGCGAGAAAAGAGATTGAGTTATAGTTCTTTCTTCAAAAAAAGTGAGATCCGAAACATGTAATTTGAAAGAGATAGCACAGGTTCCACTTTATATAGTAAGCAGTTTCAGTATGCTTACCATATAAATACTCTGCTAAACTTGTACTTGCAAGTCTGGTTAAGGTTAGGAAAAGATCTATATCAACTTAATGAATATACTTCTGCTGACGTACTCAGAAAAGATAGTTTGAATTATAAGATGTTACTCTTATATAGGACAGGAAATTTTAACAGGGGCTAGAATTCAACAAATGTCATTTTAAATAGATCTCCATGATGTCTTTTTTTACTATACAGATTTTAAAGATTTATTTGCATGGAGTTTTAAGTCAACAAATACTACTTATACAAAGACTTGAACAGTTTGGTAAACTGTTTTCTTAACAGTGCTTATTATTTCTCTCATTTTTCAATAATTTCATTAAATGTGTTATACAGTTTTCCATAGACACTATAAAAGTTGGGGTATAGATATTAAGGAAAATATTTATGTGCACCAAAATGAAACATTGCCATAGATGTTATGAAGCAATGAGTATATTTTAGTTTGCTTTGCATTAAATTTATTTATATCCTTATTAGAGAAGACACAAAAGAAAAAGAAAGCAAGAGTTTTTAAAGAAATTCCAATAAGTCCAAGCATTATTTAATGCTGGACATTTTTATTAATAAAAAATAGCACACCTTCACTTGCATGTTTTAAAATAACATATTCAACCAGAGACATGATATCTGAGTAGAGAAATATAAGTTTGATTAGATTATGTTTAATCATGGCACTAAATACTAAGTTTGATCATGACACTAAATGCTAAATTGATTTAAATTTATTTACTTCTTTTAAATCTCTGAATATCAATTATTTTATCCATATGGTAGGAATAAAATTATTGTAAATGATATGAGTAGTTAATACCAGAGACATAATGAAATAAACAATATCAATGACATGTTTCTACAACTCTAAACTGGTTTATCCTTACACACAGAATTTTGAACTAATTAGCAAAAGTAGTACTTTTTAAAATAACTGAAACTTAAAATATATACTAAAAATACAACTTAAAAACCAGAATACTTGTAATTCCATCAAAGTTTCTTTTTCGGCTCGGTGCAGTGGCTCACACCTGTAATCCCAGCACATTGGGAGGCTGAGGTGGGAGGATCACCTGAGGTCAGGAGTTTGAGGTCAGCATAGCCAACATGATGAATCCCTGTCTCTACTAAAAATACAAAAATTAGCTTGGCATGGTGGCGCGTGCCTGTAATCCCAGCTATTTGGGAGGCTGAGGCAGGAGAATTGCTTGAACCTGGGAGACCAAGGTTGCAGTGAGCCGAGATTGCACCACTGCACTCCAGCCCGGATGACAGAGTGAGACTCCATGTCAAAAAGAAAAAAAAAAAAGTTTCTTTTTTTTCTATTATCCAGTGTTAGGTGGAAGACATGATAACATTCATGTTTATTTCTTATCTATTATTCCATGTTAAGAGAAAGGCATTCTAACATTTTATTTATAGAATAATTTTTTTTGAAAATAAAGGACAAACACATTCATAGATTGAAAGTCCCAAGAAACCCAGAGTGTGAGTAGTAGGATAATAGATAAAGAATTAATACAAATGTAGAAAGTATTATTAGATTTATGGAGAGAGCTAAGATATTTCAAGTACGTTGGGGGAAGAGGAAGACAGGCACAAATAACTCCGGGAGACAACACTGGAAAACACTGAGATCAACCTTTTGTTTTGTTTTGTTTTTATTTTTATTTTCAAAAGAATTGATTATATTAAGTAACAGTGGAACACTATCTAAAGCTTTTCTAAGGTAAGATTCTTTAACACAGTATATGATCTTGCCACTCACATACACAAGAAACGAGTAGAAATTCGGAATCCAGGAGTCTTTTTTGAAAATTACATGACAGCATAATCCAGCTAAAATTGAAAAGGAGGTATCCCAGCAAAAAGACAAATGTCCATCTACGAATTAACAAGTACAAAATGAAGATAATGTCCATGATAAAACATTATAAAGGTAAATATGCTCAACCATAAAAGTAAAATATTAATGAAATAAATAAAAAACATACTATTGCAATTATTTCCTCATTTCTGCATCAAAGAGTAAATATTGTCTGAAATTTATAAAGCCAGTTGTGAAAGTAACTCAATTTCTGGTAAATATAGTGTAAAGTAAATATTACTCATATAGCAACAAAATGCACTTAAGGAAGAAAGGAAAATGATGTAATAAAAATGAAAATAGAAAAGCATATAAGTATTTAAAATTTAAAGTGAAGTAGAAAAATCATCATAAAATTAGTAAGATAATAGAAAAATCACAAATGAGTACTTTCCTAAGCTTTAGGCAACTATTTTTGAATACCTGGATAAAATAATTTTTCCTAGGACATCTTGGTTTAAAAAATATCTCAAAGAGATAGGTAGCCTAATGACAATGAAAGCAATTCAGGAAACTTCAACAATCAAATGTCACCCACTAGAAGGAATACCCTGAAGACCATTTATAAGATAATTCTTTCAAAGCATATTAGAATAAATTATTTCGGTTGTATTCAAATTTTTCAAGAAAAGAGAGTGAAGAAAAAAGACGAATGCTTTTTGTGAATCCACAAAAAAGCTGACAATAAGCCTGAATGAGAAGGCACAAAAAGATAATTATTTTAAAAACTCACTTATGAATTAAAAATAATAATATCTTAACAAGTAAAATTCAGGAAAATAGAGGATCATTACAACCAAACAACATATAAGAGGAAGCCAATAATTTGTTTCAATATTAGAAAATCAATGGTAAAAATATTCTATTGAAAATTTCAATAAATTTTGGTAGAAGTTCAAAATTTCTGTTTAATATGAAATGTGGAAAGATGGATATAACATAGTGCTTACCCATTTAACAATACAAAAAAATAAGGACAATTTACAAATACACAACTTTATGAGTTCCCCAGACAACTGATATTGCAAGGCAACCAACCAAACAACTTACCCAAATTCTAAGGAAAGACAGGCATCTGAAAGGATATATGAACACTGGTGTGCAAAATTAAATGCAACTGAGCTCCAAGGACAATTCAACTACATATTATTAACAAAATAGTGTCTTGTGTGGTCTAATCAGATAATAGTGAAGCCTTGGGGGACTGCAAATATCAGGAGAAATCACACCCAGTTGGAGGGTTTTCTCCACATATTTCAAAGGCACTTAAAAAATTGAATAGTTAAAATGCCCAAAGAGCAGCCTTGTGATAAAAGACTGAGTAGAGGTCCAAAACATTTACTGAAGGAAAGACATGAAAATCCTCCCCAATATTTTTTTTTTCCCAGCTCCTCTAGGTAGTAAAAACCTTAACATACTGGGGAAAAGAAAGTAGATATGATTTTCCACAGGGAGCTCAGGGTAACCCATGACAGCTATATAAAAGAATCAGAATATAACCTGATGAAATAATTTAAAGTGCATGTGGATCAGCAAAATGGCAGAATAGGAGGTCCCAAGCTTCATTACCTCCCAAATAAAGTTCAACTAGCTACTATGCACAGACAAGAACACCTTAGTGAAAACGCTTCAAATTGGAAATATGCCTAAGTCTCCAGCACAGTTCAGAAGACAGAATAAAACCCAGAGTAGAAGAAGCAGTCTCACTTTGACTATGTCATCCCCTCTCTTCACACAAACGGGCACAGCACTGCACAGAAAAGATTTCCAGGGGTCAGTTTCTGCAGAGGAAAAAGAGAACTGGAGGCAGACACTCAGCTTTCCTATCATTCTGAGACACTTTCCAGAAAGGTCACTACAGTCACACCTCATGGGGAAAGCAGGAGAAATTGGCATGGCTAGACCATGTGAGGTCATGTTAATACAAAGCAAGGAAGTGGAACCCACAGTAATCGGGATGCAGATCTTGATGGTAGCTCTGTGTACTTGCCAGTAGTAGCAATTGGTCAGAGGTACCAGCTAGGAGCATTGTCCAACTGCAACGCTGAGCTGCTTGCTCCCAGAAGCCATGGGAAATTCTACTTAGTTTGAATTCTTAGCCAGCCTAGGGAAGAAAGGAATGAAGGATCTCCAAAAACAAAACAAAACGGAAAACAATGAACAAAATATCAGTAGTAAATCCTTAGCTATGAATAATCATCTTGAATGTAAAGAGATTAAATTTTCCAATGAAAAGACATAAAGTGACTAAACGGATTAAGAAAAGAGAACTCCTTGGAAGACAGTATGGTGATTCCTCAACAATCTAGAACTAGAAATACCATTTTACCCAGCAATCCTGTTACTGGGTATATACCCAAAGGATTATAAATCATGCTACTATAAATTCACATGCACACGTATGTTTATTGCTGCACTATTCGCAACAGCAAAGACTTGGAAACAACCCAAATGTCCATCAATGACAGACTGGATTAAGAAAATGTGGCACATATACACCATGGAATACTATGGAGCCATAAAAAAGGAAGAGTTCATGTCCTTTACAGGGACATGGAAGAAGCTGGAAACCATCATTCTCAGCAAACTGTCACAAAGACAGAAAACCAAACACCACATGTTCTCATTCATAGGTGGAAACTGAATGATGACAACATGTGGACATAGGGCGGGGAACATCACACACTGGAGCCTGTTCGGGAGAGGGGAGATGGGGGAGGGATAGCATTAGGGGAAATACCTAATGTAAATGACGAGTTGACGGGTGCAGCAAAGCAACATAGCACATGTATACCTATGTAATAAACCTATACGTTGTGCACATATACTTAGAACTTAAAGTATAATTTAAAAAAAATAAATAAAATTAAATTAAATAAGAGAACTCCTATTATATGCTGTCTAAAAGAGATTAATTTTACCTTTAAGCAGACATACAGACTCAAAGTAAAGGGATGGAAAAATACGTTCCCTACACACAGAAGCCAAAATAAAGCAGGAGTAGCTATACCTATATTAGACAAAATAGAATTTAAGTCAAAAACTGTAAAAGGAGACAAAGTTGGACATTATATAATTATAATGAGGTCAATTTATCAAGTAGATGTAACAGTTGTAAATATATACGCACTCAATGTTGGAGCACCTAAATATATAAAGCAAATATTAAAATATCTGAAGGGAGAGATAGAATACTGTACAGTAAAAATGGGAGAACTTCGATGCTCCAATTTTAATAATGGATAGATCATTCAAAGAGAAAATTAATAAAGAAACAATGGACATTAACAACACTTTAAACCAAGTTGAACTTTACAGAAATATACAGACCATTCCATCCAACAGTACCAGAATACACATTTTTTTTCAAGTGTATATAAAACACTCACTAGGATAAACACTACGTTAAGTCAAAAGAAAAGTCTTCACAAATTTACAAAAGATTGAAATCATATCAAGTATCTTGTCTGACCACAATGCTATGAAACTAGAAATCAGTAATGGGAAGAACTTCAAGATATTATCAAATATATAGAAATTAAACAACATGCCCTGAATAACCAATAGGTCAACAAAAGATTAAAAGGGAAATAAAAAAATACTTTAGACAAATAAAAATGAAAAGATAATATACCAACACTTACAGGATGCTGCAAAAGCAATTCTAAGAGGAAAGTTTATATTAATAAATGCCTAAATAAAAAAAATAGATCTCAAAGAAACAACTTAATGTTACACCTCAAAAAAAAAAACAAGAAAAAGAAAAAGAAACTAAGCCCAAAGTTAGTAGAAGAAAGAAAATTATAAAGATCAGAGCAGAAATTAATAAAAGAGTCTAGTAAAACCATACAAAGATCAATGAAAGTAAGAGTTGGTTTTTTGAAAAGATAAAGAAAATGTACAAACTTTTAGTTAAACTAAGAAAAAAGAAGACTCGAATAAATAAAATCAGAAATTAAAGAGGAGACATTATACCTGATACCATGGAAAACAAAAGGATCATAAGAGATTATTATGAACAATATGCCAATAAGTTAAACAATTATGAATAAAAGAAACATTTATAGACACATAAAACCTAACAAAGCTAAATCATGAAGCAAGAGAAAATCTGAATAGACCAATAACAAGTAAAGAGCTTGAATTAGTAATAAAAAGCTTTCCAAAAAAATAAAAAAAAAGAAAGCCATGGACCTGAAGGCTTCATTATGGAATTCCACCAAATATTTAAAGACTAATATTAGTCCTTCACAAACTCTTTCAAAAAATCAAAGAGGATGGAATGTTTATATCCTTTTCACAAGGCTGGAATTACCCTGATACCAAAGCCAGGGAAGGACATCACAAGGAAAGAAAACTACAGACCTGCAAGCTAATATCCTTGAGGAGCATAAGTGCAAAAATTCTCAAGAAAATACTGGCAAAAAACAAATTTGACAATGCATTAAAAGGGTCATTTACGATGATCAATTGGGATTTATCCCGAGGATACAAGAATTGTTCAACATATGCAAATCAATACATGTGATACATACCATTAGTAGACCAAAAACATGATTATCTCGTTAGATCCGGAAAAATCATTTCATAAAATACGACATTCTTTTATGATTAAAACTCTCAACAAATTAGATGTAGAAATAATGTACCTAAACACAATAAGGGCCATATATCATAAGCCCACAGCTTACATTATACTTAGTGGTGAAATTTGAAAGACTTTCTGGGTTTTTTAAGATCTGGAAAAAGACAAAGATATTCACGCTTTCCACTTCTATTCAACATAGTATTAGAAGTCATCATCAGAGTAATTAGGCAGAAAAAGAAATGAAAGTCATTCAAATAGGAATGGAAAAAGTGAAATTTTATCTGTTTGCTGATGGTATGATCTTATATATAAAAACCATAATGATTGCACAAAAAAACCTATTAGAATTAATAAATGAATATAGTAAAGTCGCAGGGTACAAAATCAACACACAAAAACTAGTAATGATTTTATATACTGTTTCTTCTGAAAAAGAAAGAGAAAAATCCTATTTACAATAGCTACAAAAATAAAATACTTAAGGATAAATTTAACAAAGGAGATGGAAGACTTGCACACTGAAAACTATGAAATATTAATGAAAAAATTTGAAAGAGAAACAAATAAATGAAAAGATATCCCATGTTCATGAATTGGAAGAATTAATATTGTTGAAATGTCCATACTACCCAAAGTGATCTACAAATTCAAAACAATCCCTATCAAAATTCCAATGCCATTCTTTATAAAAAGAGAAAAAAATTATAAAATGTATATGGAACCACAAAAAGCCTTGAATAACCAAGACAATACTGAGCAAGAACAAACCTGGGAACATCATGCTACCTGATTTCAAACTGCACTACAAAGCAATAGCAATTAAAATAACATGGTACTGGCATTAAAATATAGTTGACCCTTGAACGACACAAGTTTGAACCGCACATGCCCACTTGTACATAGATTTATTTCTGCCACTGACACTTCTGAGACAGCAAGACCAAACCCTCTTGTTGCTCCCCTCCTCAGCCTACTTAACATGAAGACAAGGATGAAGAACTGTATGATGATCTGATTGCATTTAATGAATAGTAAATACATTTTTATTACTTATTATTTCTTAATAACATTTTATTTTTCTAGCTTACTGTATTGTAAGAATGGAGCAGATAATATATACATAGCATTTAAAAAATCATGTGTCAACCTACTGTTTATGTTATCTGTAAGTATTCTTATCAATAGTAGGCTATCAGTAGTTAAGTTTTGGGGGAGTTGAAAGTTATACACAGATTTTTGACTGTGCATGGAGGTCGATGCCCTTATCCTCTGCATTGTTCAAGGGTCAACTGTGGATTCATTGTCCAATGGAGCAGAATAGAGAACCCAGGAATGAGGCCATGCATGTATGGTCAATTGATTTTTGACAAATATATCAATAACACAAAATGAAAAAAGAGCAGACTCTTCAATAAATGGTGTTTAGAAAACTGGATATCTATATAAAAAAGAATAAAATTGGACATTTACCTTATACCATACACAAAAATCAACACAAAATGGATCAAATGCTTAAATATAAAGCCTAAATTTGTAGAAATATTAAAGGAAAACAGAGAAAAACACTACACAACACTGATTTGGATAACTTTTTAAAATATGAACCCATAAACACAGGCAACAAAAGCAAGAATAGACTAATGGGATTACATCAAATTAAATAGCTTCTGCACAGCAAAAGAAACAATCAATTGAGTGAAAAGACAACCTACATCATACATCTGACAAGGGGTCAATTTCCAAAATATATAAATAACTCAAACAACTGAATAATGAGAAGACAAATGACTCAGTTTAAAAATGGCTGGAGGAGGCCGGGCGCGGTGGCTCACGCCTGTAATCCCAGCACTTTGGGAGGCCGAGGCGGGCGGATCACGAGGTCAGGAGATCGAGACCATCCTGGCTAACACGGTGAAACCCCGTCTCTACTAAAAATACAAAAAATTAGCCGGGCGTGGTAGCGGGCGCCTGTAGTCCCAGCTACTCGGGAGGCTGAGGCAGGAGAATGGCGTGAACCCGGGAGGCGGAGCTTGCAGTGAGCCGAGATCGCGCCACTGCACTCCAGCCTGGGCGACAGAGCGAGACTCCGTCTCAAAAAAAAAAAAAAAAAAAAAAAAAAAAAAATGGCTGGAGGAAAAGAATACATATTTCTCAAAAGAAGGCAGTCAAATGGTCAACAGCTATAAGACAAATGCTTCATATCACTAATCATCAAGGAAATGTAAATTATAACCACAATGAGATATTACCACACACCTGTTAGAATGGCAATTATGGAAAGGAAAAGATAAATGTTGGTAAGGATGTGGAGAAAAGAGAGCCATTGTACATTGCTGGTGGGAATGTACAGCCATTCCCACATCTGTTTAGCCATGTATACAATCATTGTGGAAAACAGTATGAAGTTTCCTCAAAACGTTAAAAATCAAACTACTGTAAAAATCTAGCAACTCCACTTCTGGGAAGACATCCAAAGTATATTAAATCAGTATGTCATAAAGATATCTGCACTTCCATGTTCATTGCATCATTATTCCCAACAGCCAAGTTATTGAATCAATCTAAGTGTCCATCAATGGATACATTTTTAAAGAAAATGTGTCCTTTATAAATAATAGAATACTATTTAACCTTAAAAAAGGGAAGTAAATCTTATCATTTATAACATCATGGATGAACCTGAAACTGTTAAGTGAAATAAACCAGACACTAAAAGACAAACATTGCATAATTTCACTTATATATAGAATGTAAAACATTTGAAGTCATAGAAAGACAGTAGAATGGTGGTTACCAGAGGCTTGGGGGTGGAGTGACTGTGGAGATGTTAGTCAGAGGACACAAAAATTCAGTTACACAGAAAGAGTAAGTTCAAGGACCCTATAGTACATCGTGATGACTACAGTTAATAACAATTAACTGTACTTGTCTCTGTGTGTATGTGTATATATATATATATATATATATATATGCTCTATATATTGTATAATTGAAAATTGCTGAGAATAATTTTAAGTTTTCTCACCATGCATACACAAAAATGGTAAGTATATAAGATAATGCAGACATATATATATCAAAACATTATGTGGTACAGCATAAATATACAGATATTACTTGTCAATTTAAAATGTCTATGATGACTAGAAAATAATAATATATTTGGAAAGACGGTCTTCATTATGAGACTTTTATTTTTATTTTATACTTTTCTGTCCCATTTGAATTTTTACTATATTCTATGTTATTTTTATATAAATAAATAGATAAAAATAAATATGTGAATCTGGAAATACATAAACAAATAAACCCTATTGTTCTAGCCAAAAGTATTATCGAACAAATTGGGCAAACTGTATATTGTGTCCCAAATAATGTGATTATGAATTATAAGATTAAATTATTTAAATAATTGATTAGAGTGTATCTTTTTGCTTCTTAACAGAATGTATGTCTTACTGGATATTAGTTTTGTGTTTATACCAAATTTATATGTATATCTGTGAACTCAGATTTTATTCCTCATTGAAAATCTGATCTGAACTTTCCATCAAATCCATCGATTACTTTACAGGCATTCCTGACAACTACAGAACTAGAATTTGAGCAAAACTACCATGGTCAGTCTCTGAGAACTGATTTCATGATAATTAGAGCTTGTGTTAACACCAAACTGGGGAAGAAAGGTGGGTGGAATTGTTGAAGAAACTTCAAGTACAATTCTTTGCTAAATTTTAATAATGCAATTTTCTTTCCTCAAAGACTGCTGGAAATGTATATTATTAGATGAATATTTTGATTAGTTTTTATTTCAGGGATTTATTCATTCTATTTGAGCAAAGGTTTTGTCTTTGAAGTTTTAGGACAAGCAGAAGCCTGATATTTGGGGACAATGTAAATCTTCTCTCTTTTGAAACAGAAAAAAAATGACAATTAGTTTTGAAAAGAAACCTATTTCAGCAATACAATTCTATGCATTCCTAGATTCAACTAAATTTTTCATTGCTCCCTGTCACCCCAAAACATTTTACATCTAGAAATAATTTCATGGATCTGTTTGAGTCATGAAATATGGGACACAATATTGAGGTAAATATATTACCCTAGAGATTTGCATGCCTAGCAAAGGAGATTTTATTTCATTCTATTCTGGCTGTCCAGAAGTATTTTTTTTTTACTGAAACTGACATTTAATGTTGTAATTTTATATCTGATCAATGAAGCTTTTATTTATATCAAGGGCTTTCATGATGAAAAAATAAAAGTTACAATTTATAACTCCTCCTGTCTTACCAGGGCACATTTCCCAGGAATGGCTTTCCATATCAATTCAATTTAAGAGTTTACTGTATCGAATACATAAATAAATAAATATCTTAGTACTTCAAACTTCTTAGGTTGCCTGCAAAGTAAAAATTTCACGATTAACTCCTACCTCTTCATCAAAACTGTTCTTGCTAAATTTTGTCCTTTCTTGCTAAATCCATTAAATCAGTTTTAGTCCTCAGCTTAATCATTCCAATAACATCACATAAAGCGGACTATGTCTCAGTTCTTGCAATCTATTCTTCCTTGGCTTCATATTACACATTTATCCTTTTGTCTCCTCCTTCTCAGCAACCTTTTTATATCCTCTGTGTAATAACTGACATGTAAATATCTGTGGAAAAGAGCTAAATTCAATTCTGTCATACTTACGCTTCTATTCTCCATTTTTTTCCAAATAGATGTTATCTGTTGTCATAAGTTTTAAAGCCAGAATTATGCTGACAATTCACTTTAGTATATATCCACTTTATTTTCTGAAGTCCAACATTATATATTTACTCACTACTTTGCATTTAAACTGAGGTTTATCACAACTATCTCTTACTATACATCTTCAGAAATGAATGTTTACATTTCTTCCTTAAAATTTTCCTCTATTAATATTAATATGCATTTCTGTGAATTGTACAATCATATGTACACAAACCATAAAACTTGAAATTATCCTAGACATCTATTCTTCAACTCATAGACACACAAATTTCTATCCATTCCACGTCCCTAAGTATCTTCACTACCTTCAATATTATATAACCATGTTATCTTTTGCCTATATATAAGAAATTCCTTCTAATAACTCTTTTGCTGTATTCATATTTTTATGGTTCCCCAAAAAAGCAAAAATCAGTTACATCTTTAATCACTATGCCTAGTACCTATTATAAAACTTAACTATAAGCACTTGTTAAATAGTTTAGACCAATAAATAAACCCATCTAATTAAAACATTGCTTAAAATTCCTTTTCTTGAAATTTTGTTAATGACTAAAAAAGTCAGCTGTATCAGTGAGCATAATTCAATTTATATATTTTCTTTTATATTTTCCTGCTAACTTAACTCTCACTCTTTAATATTTCTTTCAATTTAATGGAACTTATCTACACCAAGTACTGGAAGAAGCACTCTTTCTAGGAGTACATTGAGTTAGATGCCAAAGTTCTGCCATTCCCTGGCTGCATGAAGCAAGGGTATCATCAGCAAGCTAATATCATCAGCAAGAAGTAGGTTGAAAGAGGCAAGAGTAGGGAGGTGTAACAGTACAATCTCTGTGACAGATTGGTTGCTTCCTCCCTGTAATATTAATAGTACTGTACATACATGTCCTTTGTCATGTAACTTTGCACTGGTCTTCACTGAAGCCTGAGTACACATTTCAACCCTGTGGATATCAAGCCTAGTCAGATGATGGGCTTTGGCGAAAGCCTATGGAATGTGAGTAGAAGTCACAATGTTAGTTTAAAAACAAAAACTTAGGGAACTCGGCATGTTTCTGCCCATCCCTTTTGTGCTTCTACTATCTGCCATGAGAATATTCCTATGATCGCTGAACTACCAGATGACTGGAAGATGTAAAATGAGGACAATAAAATTTTGTACAAAGCGAACAAATCCATTCACATAAATTAATTTCTTTTGGTCCTGTCACAACTACTTACATTTTACCAGATGGTCCCAATGTATATGTATATATACACACACACTAAAATTTATATAAAGATATAGATAGATATGCTAAATACATATATATTCTAAAATGAGTATGTGTGTATATATATATCTTGTATTTTATTTTATATACTATATGTATATATAAAACATACAAATATATAGCTAAACTATTGGTAAGCAAATTGCAGTATGTATGACACACAGTAGAAATGTAAAAACTATAATTATAGAAATAAAGCAGTTGTTTATTTTGACCGCTTATGACTTTTATTTGTACAGTGTGATACCGACAAAATTCAAGACCATTTATTGGACTATGATAATTCAACACCATTTTGTCACCGAGGACCCATAAGACTTCTGGTGATAATCATTTTCAAAGGACTGTAAATCATGCTGCTATAAAGACACATGCACACGTATGTTTATTGCAGCACTATTCACAATAGCAAAGACTTGGAACCAACCCAAATGTCCAACAATGATAGACTGGATTAAGAAAACGTGGCACATATACACCATGGAATACTACGCAGCCATAAAAAAATGATGAGTTCATGTCCTTTGTAGGGACATGGATGAAATTGGAAATCATCATTCTCAGTAAATTATCACAAAGACAAAAAACCAAACACCGCATGTTCTCACTCATAGGTGGGAATTGAACAATGAGAACACATGGACACAGGAAGGGGAACATTACACTCTGGGGACTGTTGTGGGGTGGGGGGAGGGAGGAGGGATAGCATTGGGAGATATACCTAATGCTAAATGACGAGTTAATGGGTACAGCACACCAGCATGGCACATGTATACATATGTAACTAACCTGCACATTGTGCACATGTACCCTAAAACTTAAAGTATAATAATAATAAAAGAAAAAAAAAGAAAAAGAAAAAAAAGACTTCTGGTGATAATCATTTTCATTCCCTATCAAGCTAGAACATCACTATAATTGCTAATTATATTCTTTTTACTTATATATGCAAACACAAAATCATAAGTTTTTTAAACAAAGTTTAAACTTTGTTTTAAAATCTTAAGTTTTTTAAACAAAGTTTAAACTTTGTTTTAAAATCTTAAGATTTTAAAACAAAAAGTTTTAAAAATATTTCCACAAGAGATATAAACTTTTATAAATTTATTCTGTCTCACACTGAAAGTCACCAGTTTAAAATTGCTGATGTTGCCTTATCTCGCCTTCTTATGTATCAGCCACTTTGCTCTCCACATCCAAAACAATTCTTCAAAAAAAAATCCTTTGTATTTCTTTCTATTTTTTCATTTAGTTTTTACTTCTTAATGTGGATACTAGGCCTCTATACAGAAAGAATGGGTTTTGACTATGATGAAGAATTTAAGACCAGAAGAATTAGATAGAGAGAAGTGTTGTTGTGGCAAGAAAAGGAAAGAGAAAACAGGAAGTAAAGCAGAGGCCATCTAGAACTGTGCTCTGAATGTTAAGTATAGATTAAAAACCTAGAATCTTGGTGGACAAGGAGCTGGGGGCTTTTGCTACAGTAACCTTCATGTGAAGCAGTGCAAGATGAATGCTAAATAATCCTAGACTGCAGAAGAAAAATAATTGTGGTAATTCTTCCTAAACTAATTTTTTACTTATTTCTTGGCTTGTGGAGTTTCCATCATTTGCATCTCCTCATCAGTAAGGAAGATTTTGCCATTGACATTCCTGAAATCTGTATTATTTGGAATTCTATTATAATCAATGTATTTTGACACTATAGATTCCCTATCCTCTTTAGAGATTCTGTTATTTCAGCATCCCCCACTCTCCCACCCCAGAGTGAGAACTGCTGATAACAAAAGTTTGATGATGATCAGCCAGGCACACATTGCTTCATGTGTAAGTAACACCAGAATGTAAGAAAAATGGAAACAAATGGGAGAACATACTAAGTGATATAAAGATAATAGATAAATATAAACTATAGTATGTAAGGAAAAATGGATGCAAGTAAGACTTTAACTGAATGAGAGACAATACTTGTAGAAATGATAGATTTATTGTTAAAATTTAATTAATTTTATAATTAATTTAAATATGCAATTAACACATGGATCTCCTTTAGTTAAAAGAAAAAAAAAAGATGTTTAAAATAAACCTAAAATCTGGCTGGGCGCAGTGGCTCATGCCTGTAATCCCAGCACTTTGGGAGGCCTAGGTGGGCAGATCATCTGAAGTCAGGAGTTCGAGACCAGCCTGGTCAACATGGTGAAACCCCGTCTCTACTAAAAATACAAAAATTAGCTGGGCGTGGTGGTGCATGCCTGTAATCCCAGCTACTTGGGAGGCTCAGACAGGAGAATCACTCGAACCCAGGAGGTGGAGGTTGCAGTGAGCCGAGATTGTGCCATTGTACTCCAGCCTGGGGGACAAGAGTGAGACTTTGTCTCAAAATAAATAAATAAATAAATAAATAAACCTAAAATCTCCATCCATCAAGTTCATCCAATTCTTATCTTCTTTCCTTCTCTTCAACTGAAGACCACATTTATGATTTTGGGTGCTATACTTCCAGATAGTTTTTACATTTTTTATCTACACAGGCAAACACAGTTTAATATTTTACTTTTGGCATTTTTTTTTGGTTGAAGGCTAAAATAATTCTAGACAATACTAATTTTTCTGAACCTTTTAAAGAAACTAAATAATGTGTATTTGTGGTAGATCCATGTAGATACATGTCAATGTAGTTCATTCTTTTCAAAGTTACATAGTATGTTCATGTCTGTCTATACTACATATATTTAACTATTAACATTTAATAGATATTAATGTTTTTCCTTCTGTTTTTCACTACAACAAAAATTGCACAATGTACATCTTTGAATATGACTCATTAAAGATGAGTAAGATATTTAATAGGGCAGAAGTATTAAATGAAATTTTGGAGATGATTAATTTATATGTGTTTTTAGTGGCCAGAATTAAGTTTCATGAACTACTAACTGCAAGAGACTGTGGGAAATACAATTTTTCAATGTACCTGAGAGGAAAATGCAATAGGGAGTTATCACTGTCTTTTCCATACACTTTCAATGACCTTAGTTGAAACCCAAAATTTATTTATGTTGAAAATCTGCAGCATACTGTTGGCAGAAGCAATTGAGCAACATGCTAAAAAATTTTTGTAACTGAATTGTAAATTTTATTTTTGAATTGAAATTTTATATTTAATAATAGAGGTAAAATAATTATTGTTTTAAGAATATTTCAGATCTACTGTAAATACTGTTTTCATTTTATGATGGTGATATTTGTTTTCAACCTCAAATTTGGCTTTTGCCTCAGATCCATATTAATTTTTAACATTTTTTCATTATTTAAAATATCTATTTCTCATATATTTACAAATATATGTTTATGTATGTGTGTGTATGTATAAATATATATGGGAGTTTGTATATGTGTCTGTGTTTATGGTTGCTCTTTCCTTTATTACAATTGGTGTAATAATTAAATATTCCATAGTTAATTGAATTTTGATAAATGTGTTAAAAATCTTTCTGTGTAATGACGGCTTAATTATTCTTCTTGATTTTCTGTTATTTTGTGTTGTAATTTAAAGACTATTTAAAGGTGAAATTTACACATCAACT
Organism: Homo sapiens; assembly: GCF_000001405.40. Taxonomy (NCBI): domain Eukaryota; kingdom Metazoa; phylum Chordata; class Mammalia; order Primates; family Hominidae; genus Homo; species Homo sapiens. The sequence continues at coordinate 132,906,269 of NC_000004.12, forward strand.
GTGATTACTGACTGTTATGGATTAAATGTTCCTGTCCCCTCTAAATTCATGTGTTGAATCTCTAATCCCCAATGTGGCCTTATTTGGAGACTGAGCCTTGGAGAGGCAATGTGAATTAGATGAGGCCATAAGGGTGGGGAAACCTCATAATGGGATTAGTGCCTTCATAAAAAAAGACACCAGAGAGCTTGCTTTCTTTCTCTCCATGCCTAGGTACTTTGGAAAGATCACATGAACACATAGCAAGAGATCGGCCATTTGTAAGACTAGAAGAGATCTTTCCCCAGAACTGGGCCATGCTGGCGCTCTGATCTTGGACTGCCCAGCCCTCAGAACTGGAAGAAAATAAATTTCTGCTATTCAAGCCACCAAGTTTGTGTTATTTTGTCAAAGCCACCTAAACTGACTAAAACACTGATATATAAGTTTAACTTTTGTTTTTTGTTTTTTTTGAGACAGAATCTCGCTCCATCACCAAACTGGAGTGCAGTGGTGCGATCTCGGCTCACTGCAAACTCCACCTCCTAGGTTCAAGTAATTCTCCTGCCTCAGCCTGCTGAGTAGCTGGGATTACAGGTGCCCACCACCACACCCAGCTAATTTTTGTATTTTTAGTAGAAACGGGATTTCACCACGTTGGCCAGGATGGTCTCGAACTCCTGACCTTGTGATCCTCCTGCCACGGCCTCCCAAAGCGCTGGGATTACAGGCCTGAGCCACCGTGCCCGGCCATGAGTTTAACATTTTATTTTGTTTTATTCCACCCTTGTCTCCTCATTTTATAAAAGCTCCTGTTTGGCTTTCTGTTTTATTTTACTTTGATTGAAATTTATTTTTTTCTATACTTTCCTTCAAGTTTTTAAAAGTTATTTTATATCCTTTAGTTACCTCTAAATTAATAGCATGTATATATAATTTCTATGCCATCATCTAGTCTATTGTCTCAACTTTACACAGAAAACTTTTTCATTTAATGCCTATAATATCTGTTAATGAAGACTCAACAAGAGCCTTAATCATCAATTAAAAATAATTTGAAAATATTAGTAATTGAAATATTTAACAGAGCACAGTGGCTCATGTTTTTAGTCACAGCACTTTGGGAGGCCAAGGCAGGAGGTTCACTTGAGCACAGGAGTTCAAGACCACACTGGGCAACATAACATGACCCCATCTCTACAAAATAAAAAATAAAAAATTAGCCTGACATGGTGGCATACACCTACACTGCTAGCTACTCGAAAGTCTATGGCAGGAGAATCACTGGAACCCAGGAGTTCAAGGCTGCAGTGAGCTATAATTGCACCATTGCACTCCAGCCTGGGGGACATAATAACACCCTGTCTCTAAAAAAACTGTAAAAATGTAAAAAAAAAAAAGAAATAAATAAAAGGTTCTTGGCTCTGTTTTGTGTGTAAATCAGGGTATCAGTCCAGATGTTTAGAGGAGGATGATATTAATAAATTCAACAATCAAGCCAGTATGGTGTCTCACTCCTGTAATCCCAGCACTTTGGGAGGCCAAGGTGGGCAGATCACTTGAGCCCAGGAGTTTGAGAACAGTCTGGCCAACATGGTGAAATCCCATCTTTACAAAAAATACAAAAATTAGCCAGGCTTCGTGGTGTGCACCTATAGTCTCAGCTATTCAGGAGGCTGAAGAGGAAGAATCACCTGAGCCTGGGAAATGAAGGCTGCAGTGAGCTGTGATGATGCCACTGGACTTCGGCCTGGACAACTGGAGTAAGATCTGTCTCAAAAAAAAAAAAAATCAATCAAAATATTATTTATGGTTACACTGTCACTTTTTGTTAAAGGACATTTCCTCATATTTTAAAAAATTATCTGTTCCCATAAGTAAATTGCAATACAGTTTAAATTTTAGCAGAGATATTTGAATTTTATAATGTTAAAAATATTCAGTTACCTTATAATATATGATCTTTTTAAAGTTAAAGCAGTATCCTAAAGAATGAGCAGAATTTGTTCATTTCTGGGTCAGATATTTATCACTATTTTGTTCAATGTAGCTATACATAAGATTTCTACTTTTATTCAATCTCCAAATAAGCTAATTGTTGAGGGAAACATTTTTATCTTATTTTAATTTTTAAAAAAATCTCCTCCATATTCCACAAACATCGACTTTCATTGCTGAATAAAGAAATGTATTGCAATGGGTTCAGCTATTCTTTAAGCAAGGTTGTGTGACCTTACAACTTCATCGTAAGTAGAAATTTCTCTCACTTTCAGAAGCATATCAATAGCATATTTAAAAAATATACCTGCCACTTTGTTGAATTGCCTACATGTGACCCTACACATTGAATAATTAAAACTGGAGTGAAAAAACAATTTTTTGAGACTCAACTGTTTGATGGTTTTGTTACAAAATTTAAAAACAGCCTTATAAGAAGTAATGTGAAATAAAACAAATGTAAGATAAGAAAAAGACAGATTTTTCAAAGACCTGGAAGAACAGATGTACAATCAGCATCACCCTGTGAGTGGCAATGCTCAAGAGGTACAGGAAGTAGGTTTCTCCATCCCCTATTGCTCTTGTGAGAACACATTACTGAATACACTCTACAGAGATCTGGCAACTTAGTAATCCATGCAAAGCCCTTTTGGGGAAACTAGGAAAGCAGAATAATAATAGAGGAAGTAGTAGTACCTGGGTAATAACTACAATCTCTGCTTCAAAGGATAAATGCCTTCAATTAGAGAACTGTGCATATTTTATCAAGACCTCTCTACCTGTACATGCAGGTAGGCATAATGCTGTTTTGGAGAGCTATTTCCAAAAGAATGGCGCATGACGATTAAGGCCAACTTTGTGTTGTCTTTTATTCTTTTGGTACATCAAGGCTCCACTGGGCTCAAAGATGAGCTAGACTAAGCTAAAGATTCTGCATTGGATTTCCATTCACTCCACTGATCTGCTGATTCTCTTACAGCCATGGCTACCTGGAGCATATTCTTCTCAAAGTAGATGGCAAAATGGCAAGAGTGAAAGCCAAAAATATGAGTACATTCAATGTCTCTACTCATAATTTCTGCTAATATTGTATTGGCTAAAGCAAATCTCAAGGCAACATCCAAACTCAATGAGCAGCAGAATTTACTCTTCAGACAGGGGCAGTCATAGCAAGGTTTACAAAGAGGAAAACATGTAAGCAAACAATATAACTCTGCCTGATCTCTTGGTCATAATTATTAATTTCCCTTCCATTTGCAAAATGCATTTACTTCTCCAAGTCACCAGAAAATCTTATCCCACCATGGCAATGCCCATTTAGAGAGGTGTTGTAAGAATGACATATAATAAATGCTATAAAGTAACTAGTATACATCTTTGGATATAGGAGTTGCATTCTGTAGCTATTAATATTAATCCTAACAATGATACCAATGACATTTAATTTTATTGTAATGTTAATACAGTTAAATACCATTCTATATTTTTAGGTAAAATATTATCACTGTGGTATGTTAGGGAATATTTGAGTTAGATGTTTTAATATTCCAATAATATACTCATATGTTAATCACAAGCACATTAACTCCTGAAGGAAGAAAACAGAATTGAATCAAATGAGTTAGACAGATGTCTTAAGACTTAACCTTCAAATGGAATTGATTTCAATGGAATGCAAAATCCCTGCAAATGCAGAATCAACTGTAAAATGAATCCGACCTGTGTAACGGACCCCAGAGGTATAATAAACACATAAAAATCATCCTAACATAAATAGATTTACACATATTCAAGTTGAAAGGTAATTTACTTTTTGAATTAACAAACCTGATACAAATCTGATTTGTTCTATTTGGAATGAATATGGAATACATCAAGCACAATAAATAGCAAACAACTGGTAATATTCCCCCAGTTTTAAAAAGTTTTCACTAAAACTAAATTCATGCAATAATTGCAAATGCTATTTTATCCTTTGCTTGTGTCCTAATCAGCTAGCTTTCAAGTGATTAAAATTATTTCTTTTTTTCCCCTTTCTTTTCTTTTTTTTTCCCAGCTGCCAGATGGGAATGTGTGCATTGGCCTCCACCACATCATCAGCATCTCTGTTTAAATTCTGGTGAGCTCTGAGTGCTCCATTACCCATTGCATTCTGCCCCATTTGATCCAGGCGCATTTGCCACTTTGATGCCTTCAGAGTACAAACAAGGTGCACTAATCAAAGCTTCCCTGTTCCATTCTGAGAGAACCTCTCATCATTGCCATGGTTTCAAATCTGGTGCATAACATTACTACTTCATTTTGCTCCCTTTGATTCTATCAGTCTGACACTTTGATCCCTGCATTGCACTAACTGGACTCATCAAAGCTTTCACACTTTTGTTTTTGACAGTCAGTGACAAAGATTCCAGCAGGATGAGAGACTTTTACTTTCCCTGTTTTGTTTCTGTTGAATTTTCAGTTATCAACTGTTTCCTATTTATTCTGGTTCTAGAATGTGTTCTTTAATTTTATTGGTGTTATATTTAAAAATGTATATTTATTTTTAACTAAGGCTTTCCAAAAGCAATTAAATATATCCATACCAGAGTTGTATATCTCAGAATTATTTAATGTACCATGGGTGTTTAAGCAATGACTCTAAAATTCCAATAGCTTAATGGAAACAATTAGTGTGGTGTGTAAAGCAACAGCACTGATATAAACCAGAGTATGTTAGAGTTCCATCTTAGGAACTCTAGACTTCATCTAATGACTTTATCAGAAAATGCTTTTTGTCTTACCGTTATATAGTTAAGAAGACTTCTGCATGTGTTTTAAATATATCTACTGTCCAGGTGAAAATGAAAAAACAATGCTCATGATTAGGTTGTCTTTCTTCAATTTTCTGCATAAACGTTTATTTATTTCAGGCCTAGAAATCTTGATGATGTGTTTTCCTGCACAGCTTTTTCATGACCACTATCAAATCATAATTGTCCAGTGATCTATTTGACTGATGAAATAGAGTAGAAATAAATATTCTAGGAATCACAGAAGAACATCAGGGATTCTATTTTCGTAAGTCCTCTAATTGTACTTCCTCAATTCTGAGGGAATTATGAAGGGAACTTTTATGTCAATGGATAGGTTTCTAAGGCCTCAAGGTTGATGGTTGGTGGTAAAAGTTGGAGCCCTGGAGAGGGGCTGTGTCAGGCTGTCTATAAGAGAAAGAAAGAATGTCTTCAGTGAATCAGGCTGTCTATAAGAGAAAGAAAGAATGTCTTCAGTGAATCTGTTACTGACAAGACTGCTCTATACTATTATTTTTGTATGAGTGGTAGAAATGAACAATTAAGTTACTATTTTTAACCATTTAGGACTCTATGGATATGAGAAACAAAATGATTATGAGGTAGCCATTATCAAGAAGCATAGCGATGTGGATAGTCTTAATCTCTTGAGATTTTTAGACACTAAAGAAACCACTAAACCAGTAGAAAAATAGGAAAGTTCCCACTTTGTATTCAAAGAGGTAAAAAAGTCTGTGATAAAAGTTGTAATACACTCTCCTGAAGTACTCGCTTATTTTTATCTTTGTGTCTCTTGGTGGTTAGGTACTCCCTTGAAACTTCATAAATGGGTGTCACCCATGGGACCCTCATGCTCCATGATAGACAAAGCCTACTGATGACACTTTAATAATACAACCTTCTCTCAGCAAACTGAAACATATTGTAGAAGAAATAATTTGTCCTTGTCTTCAATAAACTATGTCCTTAAGAGAGAAGAAGAAAGGAGAAATATGTGCATTATTGAATGAAACAGAAAATCTTTGGAATATCTTGGATAATCATAAAGTAGTGAATTTTTTTTTTTTTTTTTTTTTTTTTTTTTTTTTTTTTAGGACAGAGTCTTGCTCTGTCACCAGGCTGGAGTGCAGTGGCACAATCTCGGCTCACTGCAACCTCCGCCTCCAGGGTTCAAACGATTCTCCTGCCTCAGCCTCCTGAGTAGCTGGGACTACAGGCACTTGCCACCATGCCCGGGTAATTTTTTGTATTTTTAGTAAAGACGCGGTTTCACCATATTAGCCAGGATGGTCTTGATCTCCTGACCTCGTGATCCGCCTGCCTCGGCCTCCCAAAGTGCTGGGATTACAGGCATGAGCCACCACATCCGGCCCATAAAGTAGTGAATTTAAGCAAGATTTCAAAGTTCATTTCGGACATGTTGCCACACTTAGAGGAAAAGAAGAACAGTTACTACAAAAAGTGTCTAACAGTTTTCTCTATCGATCTGAGGGAGGTAAGGTGTAGTTCAAGTTTCTTGACAAAGGCAATGTAAATATTGACTCGCTATCTTTGTTAATATGACTTGGATTTTTCATTCATATTAATTCAGTAAATAAAAATTGTTGGCATTTACATTCTGATTTATAACAAGATGAATAAAATTTTTATAGAATTAGTTTTAATTACTTTCATATAATAATTTCTTTCACATTCTTTAGTTCCTGATTTTGATTTTTCTGTCAAGTGGATTGAAAAATATTCACATTATATATATTTTTTAAGAAGAATCCCTTTAGTTGTGTTTTTCCAGAAACTTTGAATAGCTAAGAAAACTTTTCTAACATTACTAATGAATGAAAACTTGACAGGTCATAGTATTTTCAAACAAAAAAAATTCACATCACACACTTTGTAGACATTGCCTCATAAATTTCAAATTTATTTGTGAAGAAACTTATGGGGCCCTATAGACATTTATTCAGTTCTTACTGAAATTGATTTTTTTCCTTATTTATATTTCTTATAATGAACATCTCCAACATGATGTCTCTGAGCTCATTATCTTTCATATTTTTTCTCTTAGACTTTCGTAAAAATTTTTATTTTCATATATAATCTCCTTTTCAGCTTAGATCTATTCTTTTCTATTATATTCAATACCAGAATTTGGTCTAATACATAGTAAGCAAAACAGCACTTATAACATGCCTTGACTTTAATAGTTGCTCAATATGCATGTAACCAAATGAATAAATGAAAGAGAAAGATATTTAAAAGAACCAGAAGTGAGGGAACAGAACAAGTTGAGCTCATATTTGTGTACTTCTTTAAATCTAATTGGTCATATTTTTATAAATTTGACAATCACTGTAAAAGCCTAGAAATAATTCACCAAATATTAATAATGAAATGACTGTCAGTGACTAGTCATGATAATGAAGTCATGAACATAAACCTGCTCTCAAGATTCAGGTATGAGTATAGTGTTGGCAGTCAGTGAGGACAAGGATTGTCACTCTACCCACTGCCAATTGGAAACATATATATATATATATATATACACATTTTTTTTCAGCCGGAGTCTCGCTTTGTTGCCAGGCTGAAGTGCAGTGGTGCCATCTCCGCTCACTGCAATCTCCGCCTCCCTGGTTCAAGTGATTCTCCTGCCTCAGCCTCTTAAGTAGCTGGCACTACAGGTGCTCACCACCACACCCAGCTAATTTTTGTATTTTTAGTAGAGATGAGGTTTCATCATGTTGGCCAGGCTGGTCTTGAACTCCTGACCTCAGGTGATCCTCCTGCCTCGGCCTCCCAAAGTGCTGAGATTACAAGCATGAGCCACGGCTCCCAGAGGGAAACAAATAAATATATTAACGAATTAGCAACAAAGACTGTATCAAACTTGCTTTCTTTAGAGGTAAGTGATTGACAATAATTATAATAGCTAATTATTAGTGACATACTATGTGCTAGGTGGTTTACTAAATATTTTTCATACATTAACTCATCCTCTATTGTATCTTTAATCATCATAATCTTTTTCCATATGATCTGTCTACAGTCATCTCATTCTTTCAACTTTTTTCGTCCTATTTTTTAAATCTTCTTTTTTGTTTGTTTGATAACTGCTGCTGTATTTTCTTGCATTTTTAAACTTCCCCCTTTCTGAAGATTACATGGCTATGTAATAGACAAGTTTCAGAGTTATGCTCTTCCTTTTCTTCTGAAATTTTAAATTATTTCAAAAAACTTATTCTGGGCCTATAGAATAGTACCTAAGAAAGAGTGTGGGCTCTGGAGACAGACTGCATGGCTTAGAATCCTGCCTTAATTACTTTATACCTGTGTGAATTTTAGCAATTTACATAACTTCTCTGGGCTTTAACTTTTTCATCTATCTATTAATTAGTACTTTCTGCATAGTGTGGTAAAAAAATGTAAGGATATACTATGGCAATTCTATTTCTTTTTTATTTTATGCCATTCATTTTGAGCTGCCCCTTCTCTAAATACATACTAAAATTGTTAAATTGGTAAAAGGAGCAAAGCTATACTGATTGCCTCACAATCATTGTGAAATGTTGAAGCAGATGCCCAATCCAGAGATTAGTTTTTATTTCATAATGTGAGAATTGACTATTTTAAATGATAGAGCATTGAAAATTGTTCTTGATTCTTCTCTATCTGCCTCATTGTTACTGACATATTCTCTCAAGCTATAGTATGAGATCCGCCTGTAATGAAGTTTCATGGAGATAAATCCAGGCATCACTTCCCCCATAGTTTTAGGTAAATAAGTGGGAATCTAGAATAGACTCAACATTAAGTCCCAAATGTCAAACTTTACATTTTTTACATATACTTCAGGAAAACATTCAAAACTTTGTTACAGTTTGCCAATAAAATAATTTATTTATCTTATATTCCTAAATATCTGATTAAAATTTAATTTGCTCTAGAAGCTTTTAGCATGCCTCCCAACCCCATCCTCAAGATGGTATTATGCATTTTCGTTATAATTTATATTGCCTTTAATTTATGCATTTTCATTATAATTTACTATTTATAATTTATAACTTTTTGTAATGGTTATGAGGAACATTGAAATATTAAAAGGAGGTTATTTGTACTCTTGATTATATAAATGCCAAATGGCTATTGCGTTGTTTTCACCATATATATACAAAATAGTGAAAAACAAAATGTCACTTCTGAAGTTAAAATAATACATCACATCTCTTTTAATATCATAAATCCATCAATTGAATACAATCAAATCAAAACATTCAAAATTGGCCAAGATGTGTAAAGATCTGAGTAAGACACTTACAAACAATATGCATTTTGTTATATTCTCAGAAGAGATACCAAAGCCTCTTGTCCAAACCTAGATGTAGATATACCTTTGCTTTTTTTTGAGATTGTTTATTTAAACACTTACAAAGCATTATAATGGAATTTAAATAAATCTCAAATATATTTGACTAAACAAATGCTTATTAATCTATCATGCATCACTCAGGAGCACATTGGTATATGCCACTTCTTTTATAATGTACTTATGACTTTGCATGGGATTTTAACAGCCATTTGAATACATGCCATTCATATGAAGAATTTTAAAGAAAACAGTTAAATAGATATTTGAAAGTCTAGCTCAAAATATTGTTTTTCACCTGAAAATGAGAGAAATAATTTTAGACATTGCTATACCATTAATATTTTGGAATAAAATGACAAATTGATTCATTAAAAATTTCATGTGTGTTTATTTTAGATAGATCCTTTTACTAATTATTTGGTAAAATAATTTAGTCAATTATTTGGTAAAAGTATTTTAGTCAAATAAATTGGTTTTAACATTTTTGTAAATAATTAAAATTATTGCTTTCATTATAGCAGTAACTAGACCTCAGCTCAAAAAACAGTCAGTTTCTTATTTATACACACACACACGCACACACACACACACACACACAAACACACAGTTTAGTTGGTAGGAGGGTACTTTGGCAGACTTTCAGAGGGATAAGATGAAAAACTAAAGAAACTGCACCTTTCTTCTCTCTGATTTTGTATTTCTTGCATTTATGATATTAACATTATGTGAACACCAGTGCTTTCTTTTTTCAGCAAAGCATAAATCTAGATACCTCCTGAATCTATAAGGAACAGAGAATCATCAGCTTTGAAGTAATGAGTTCACAAAAAATTCAAAAATAATTTCAAAGACACTATATGACATATCTCATAGGGTGAAGAATGCTTTCAATAAAATCGCAGATTTGGAATTCTTTTTTAAAGCAATGGTAGAGAGGTTACTCCTTTCAAAACAGTGATTAGGAGGTTTATGATTTTGCTAGAAAATACCTAGTTGTTGTCTGACAATAAATACTTTTTGAATAAAAATGAGGTAAATATTTTGCAAGACTGCATAGATTTAAAAACTCATTTTAAAGTTTTCAAAAGTTTTTATTGTGAAATGTACATACTAAAATGCGTGCACAGAATTTAAAGAATAATAATAAGATGTATACCCTTCGACATATTATTAGACTCAGATAAAATATTTCTAGTCCTATAGGAATCCCAAGTGTGCTGTGCAATAGCTACAGAGCTTTCTCTTTACCCCTGAGGTTACCACTCTCCTGCCTTTTGTGCTGTGCTCTTGCTTTAACTAGTGATATTTACCTATCTGTGTTCGTAAGTATGCATAACCTAGTTTTGCTTGTTTTGAAATTTACATAAAAGAACTATACTAAATAATCTATCTGTGATTTTAGTTTTTTTAAATCAATATCATGATTAGGATATTAAATCAAGTGAATGAATATAGCAGTATTCCTTTTGATTAGAGTGAAATATTCCACGATGTGCAAACAAGATTTAACCCATACTATTGTTAGAAATCCTAAAGGTTGATTGTTGTTTTTTGAAATCCAGAAGAATGTTCTGAGGAATATTCTTGTATATGTCTCTTGATGCTGTGAAATAGAATTGCTACATCATGTTTTATTAACTTCAGTAGAAATATTAATTTATTTTCTAAAATTGTGCTAGTTTAAACTATCACATTCTGGAATTCTTACATCATCTCTTTACACATCTTGACAAGACCTTGTGTGGCTTTACATTTTTGTAAATCTGAGGGGTATAAAATTACATATTATTGTGGGTTTAATGTATATTTCCTGGTTGTCAGTGAGGTAAGTGGTAATGTACATGTTTATGTGCCATTTGTATGTCCTCCTTTGCAAAATGTCTATTTATGTTTATTTTTGCCAACTTTTCACCTTTTCTGTTTTATAATTAAACTATATTTTAATCTGTTTATTATCTATAATAACTTTTTGCTAATTGTGTGTTGTATGTATTCCCTGCTCAGCATTTTTACTCACCTTATGGTGTTTTTTAATGAACAAATATATTGTTCAAAATTTTAATGTAATAGAATAAAACAATCTTTTGCATTAGAAAATAATTTTTTTCTCTCTTTCAAAATCCTTACTAATTTTTTTTACCTTTACTTTCTTTTACTTCTTTGGCTAACACCTCAAGTAAAATGCTGACTAGAAAATGGATATACTTCTCTTGGTTCTGATGTTAAAATATAGTAAATACATTAATATTTTACCATTTAATATAATGCTTGCTGTAAGATTTTTATAAGTGCATCTGTTAATTTAATAGTTGTATTAGCAGTTTGAAGTTTTCACCTAGAAGAAGTTGAATTTTATTAGATACTTCTGAATAAATTGAGATTATCATTTTTTCCTTTATAGATTGTTTTACATGGTAAATAATATGAGTTAGTTATGTAATGTGGAATACCCATTCCTGTAATTATGATGCAGTATTCTTTGTATACAATTATTCTTCTTCACTGTTATATTTAGCAGGATTACATCTGTCTACATTTGTGAAATTTCTTGCATTATTTGTTTGTATTCTTCTTTTATGTTTCACATGTTAGCTGTTACTGTGAAATAAATTATCCCATAATAAGTGATTTGCAACAAGAAGTATTTACTACCTTAGAGTTTCTGAGAGTCAGGAAACTGGGTGCAGTTTAGTTGGGTGCCTCTCACGCAAGGGTCCATTTGTAGCTTGACTTGGAGATGATCTCCTAACAAGTTCACTCCTGTGATTGTTGGCAAGATTCAGATTCTCAGGGTCTGTTGGACTGAGGCCCTCAGTTGTTCAGTGTCATGTAATTGATGAATCCTCTCAGTTCTTTGCCAAACATGACACATGTCACAACATGGCAACTGACTTTCCAACAGATCCATGAGCAAGAGAGTGAGAGAGGGTGAGTGAAATAGAAACCTTGGTTAACCTAATCTCACAAATGACATCTCATTGCTTTTGCTATATTCTTTGTTAGATGCAAATTGCTATGTCTGGCCCACATTCAAGGAGGGATAATTATACAAGGGTATAAATACTATGGGATAACTAGAAGCTATCTTGGAGCTGCCTACCACAGTGATATATTTCATTTTATAAATACATGTTATATAAAAACACATATTTCAGCTTATGTATTTACATATTTTTATTTTCTTTATAAAATTATTTGTCTCTTCATTTTAAAATTTATGTGATCAAGAATTGTCTGATTCATTACATTTCTTAAAGACAAATGGAGCTCTGTGTTGCTACACTGAATGTTTGTATTTAACTTTTTCTTTTTACTTTCCTTAGTTCCTTTCTTGTTACTTTTTCATTTAGCTTGTGTTTACAACTTCTTATCTTCTTTTATTTTCATATGTAGTTTTAAGACTATGTATTTCCCTCTAAATGATGCTTTAATCATATCCCACAAATTTCAACATGTAATATTTTTAATTGTCAATCAGTTCTTAGAATTTTCTTTCATCAGGATTTCTTTTTATTTATGTTTGTAGAAGTATAATTTTAAATTTCTGAATATGAAAGTATTTTTCTAAGTAACTATCATATTTTTAACTTAGTTGCACTGGTTTGTGTTCTGAATAAATTGTGTTTGTGTTCTGAATAAAGTCAAACAATAAATTATTTAATGTACCATTTGGGATTAGGATATTGACAATCAATTTTTGCTTGGTGTCAGTTTGGGACAAATAGGTTGTCTTAGTCCATTTGCATTGTTATCAAGGAATACTTGAGGCTGAACAATTAATAAAGGAAAGAGATTTATTTGGCTTATGGTTCTGCAAGCTGTACAAAAAGCATGGTGCTGGCATCTGCTCAGCTTCTCATGAGATCCTCAGCGTACTTCCTCATGGCAGAATGCAAGGGGAGCCGGCGTGTGTAGAAATCACATCATATGGGAGGAAATAAGAGAGAGGAGGATATGCCAGACTGTTTTTAACAACCAGCTCTTGTGAGAACCAACAGAGCAAGAACTGACCCATTACTGTGAGGATGGCATCAAGCATCTCATGGGGGATCCACCACCATGACCCAAACATCTTCCATTAGACTCTCACCTTCAACATTGGGAAACAAATTTCAACATGGGGTTTGTGGGGACAAATATCCAAACTATAGCATATAGGTATTCTCCATTTATTGGACCTAATGTTTTTTATATGTTTATTAGATCCAGTTCAGAATAATATTCAAATTTATCATATTACTTTTTTCTGTTGTATCCTTGAACTATAAGTTATTGAAAGAGGAGTACTGATATTTATAATGGCATCTTAGTCATCGGACTCCAAGTTCTTCCGTTTTGAGACTCGGACTGGATCTCCTTGCTCCTCAAGCTTGCAGACAGCCTATTGTGGGACCTTGTGGCCATGTAAGTTAATACTTAATAAACTCACCTATTTCTGTCTCCCTAGAGAACCCTGACTAATACAGTTATCGAGTCAGGAAAATATGTGTCATAGCCCTATCCCTGGCCAGAGGTATCAATTCAGACACAGCATAGCTCTGGCCAGTAAGTTAAGGCTGACCTGAAGCCTTCCAAGCAGAGGTAGTGCCCTGATAGAGTACACACCCCAAGGGCATAGCTGGTCCTTCTGGAAGCAAACCATTTACAATGTTGGGGCACCCAAGCAGGGCATATATACACCTGTTAACATCAGGTTAGCAGGATCTCCAGAGTAGCCTATGGTCATCAGGCCTCCAACCCTAGGATTCCCAGGTCAGTCCAAAAAACTCAGTTGAATCCTTGGTTTTAGAAGAGCCACCAGTGGCAGTAGTTTTCAAACAGTTTTGCTTATTCATAGTATCTGTTTTTCAGCCTCACAAGTATGAACAACATCTAGAGGGTTATGCATGGGGTGTGCAGCGGCTGAAGCCGTGACCCTCTACTGTCTCACAGGCATTCAGGAGATGAGGTCATTCTCTGATGCTCTTGCTGTCATAGGCATGGTCATAATATCACCGTCAGTTTGAATCTGAAGTGCCCACAACAGCTTAGAAAGGTAGCAGGGAGAATGAGTTTTTTAGTCTGTTCATTTCTTTGGAGGACAAAAAAGCTTTTAGGAGGAGTAAGATAAAGATCATTAACATCCTCCCTGTTGCCTCCCCAGGCGTCAAGGTTTTAGTTTTGTTTTATTTACTGCTATCATCAGTGTTTTCCATCTAGTAATAAAAACTTTATTATTTAAAAAAGTTACCAACTATTTTTTCAGGGGCAGGGGTGGGTTGTGTATGGATGGAGTCTTGCTCTGTCTCCTAGGCTGGAGTACAAAGGCGAGATCTCAGCCCACTGCAACCTCTGCATCTTGAGTTCAAGTGATTCTCATGCTTCAGCCTCCCAAGTAGCTGGGATTACAGGCACATGCCACCATGCCCAGCTAATTTTTCTATTTTTAGTATAGACAGGGTTTCATCATGGTGGCCAGGCTGGTCTCAAACTCCTGACCTCAAGTGATCTGCCCTCCTTGGCCTCCTAAAGTGCTGGAATTACAGGTGTGAGCTACTGTGCCCAGCCAAAAGTCATCACCTACTCTTATTTAGACCTTTCAACTGAGAGATATGTGAGAAGGACAAAAGCATTTGTATGAAAAAAAAAATTTCTACAAATTAATCACAGACACATTATGGTTATGAATTGGTTAGTATAAAATCCTGAAGTTTTAAAAGATTTCAAAATGAGTTTACATATCTCCCATCCCTTGCTTAATAGCCATTGTGAGCTCTCATTGATTTGAGGCTTCAGAAAGAAATTGAAGGGAAAGCAAAGCCCTTATAGGATCCCCCGTGAGACTACGGTGTCAATAATTATAAAAGAAGAGTGTAAGTTTGAAGGAAAGGGGATAGATAACCAGACTGAACATGAGAAATACCCTTTTGAGGAATTGCTGCATTGAGATCTTAGATGGCCTACAGAAGATGGGCAGTCCAAGTTTGGGTTATTTTGTCCTCACCTATCAGACACGTACACCTGTAATTTAATTTTTCATTACGACATGTGATAATCCTGTGTCTTGGGGGTGATATGAAGCATTGAAGGTTCATAGTATGTCCCATGTCTGAGCCCATTAATGTGTAGCTTGTGTCACAAATCTGGGCCTGCTGTCAAATGCACTGTGATGAGGAAACACTAACAGGAAACAAATGTAGCCTTGTAGGACCTGGATAGTGTGCCCTGAGTCAGTAGAATGCATGGAGATGGCTAAGCCAAACCCAGAGAAAGTGTCCACTGCAGTCAGGATCCTGTAAAACTCTCTTGATGGGATGAAATGCCCAACATGACCTACCTGCCAAGAATATTCTGGTTCTTGACTTGTGGAATTTGCTCCTATGTGGTGTATTTAACCTTGACCAGAATTTGCAGTGAGGGCAACTTTTCTTTGAAAGTGGCAGTTCCTATGTGTCAGCCCAGGCTAGGATGTTGTCTGAATGTCCATGGGCTGCCCTCTTGTGTATCCAGGAGGCAATCAGTCACATATCTGGTTGCTCGACAGTGGAAGATACTTCAGTTTCTGTGTTTAGTTGACAGGTGTAGTCAGCTCACTGGTTATGTTTCCCACTGTCAATGTAGAAGTCTGTCTAATAAGCATCCACATGGGTAACAAAAGACTTATAAGGACTGGAATTGGTTTTTACCCAAATGTTTCCTCACCCAGGAGAGCTTATTTTGTAAATGTCAGTCTGAGGCTTGACAGTGTCTCCAACAAACAGTTGTATTAACTATAAACCATAAGTCAGGTAGGTTCACAATCTTCCACATGCCCTCTATAATTTTCCTTATTGTAGCAATTATATCAGGACTTGGTGGCAAAGGCTAGCAGCAGTCTACATAACCAAGACATTAATACCAATAACACATTCAGGAGTGAAAGCCTTAACAAGAGAGATCTGTAATAACTAAAGGGAACCACTCATAGTCGGTCTTGGGCAGGGGTCCTTGTAGTGATGGCCTCAGACCCAAAACCACAGAGCATTATTATTTTTTTAACTCATCTTGGTGCCAGGGATTTCAGGGAACATGGTTATTTATGTACAGGCTCAAGAAATGCAAATTTTCTTTATCTCCTCATTGAACCTTAACCTTGGCAAAGGACCTCTGATATCCCCTATCCCTCACCAAGGGAAGAGACCTCTTGCAGTTTCAGGGACCACCTGGTAGAATTTGATCATAAGTTTTCTGAGACAGGAGCAGCTAGTGAAGAACTAGGTGGAAAAGCTAGCTGGGGGTGCAGAGCTGTTTCTTGGCCAGGATTCCCATGGAGCAATGAAAGGCAGGCATATGAGAGGAGAGCAGGGCTTCTGGAGGATATCGAATGAATTCTCCTGGTCTCATCATGGTGCTGGGCAAAGTATTAATATACCAAATGGCTGTGCATTTCTTTTTCATCTGAGGTTTCAGCATCTTGCTGCACCACAGGGTATTTATCAGTGACCTGCTTAGTATTACTCAGCATGCAGAAGCCCCCTACCTCTCTCTGGTCTTATTGGTAGAGGGCTCTAGGCTATGGCTAAGAAATTGCTTTCCTAGCTTTTGCTGGACCCCTATGCTTGATCTCTAATCGGATTAACCAAATGCTCAGCTGGAGGGTCAGAGACTAATGAGAAAGACCAGTGATCCCTCTCAGAAATAAAAAGATTATAAAAACAAATTCTCTAGCATCCTTTAAGAATGCCCCAAGCACTTTCCAAAACCCACCATCAAGGCTGGTGAGTGCCCACAGGCTTTGCTGGCACTTACCAAGGCCAGTTTGTGAAGTGTCCCCTGGAACACTCAGACTCTTGCAAATGATGCACTTTCATAATGCCCCAGGTACTTTGCTAACACCTTCCAAAGGTGCCTTATAAAATCTTCAGGCTTTTGTTCTTCCAGAGCTTCATAACTATCCTGTTCATTGTACCAATTTGTCAGGAATCCAGCTAAGTTGGAGAGAATATGCAGAGGCTACCAGGTGTCAAAGTAGTCAATTAAAGCAACAAGCAAAAATGAAAGTTAACAGTCAAAGCTTTAATCAATTACATCAATAATATAAGCAAGAGGCTAAGCCAGAGAAAGTGCTTCCCCTGTTTTATTTTCCCCCATGAAACAATGTACTGGTTCAAGGTCAGGCAGATCAGCACAGATGTAGGGGTCCCCAAATACTCTTTAAAAACAGCAATGTAAGGAGCAGATACTAAGAAATTACAAGATCAAAGGCTAAGTGGCAGTAGGGATCCAGAGAGGTAAAGGTAATCATAAGAGCTCTTCTACCCTGAGAGCGTTTGTTAATATCTAGAACCCAAGCTTTGTTTACATGGCCTTGTAGGGCACGTGGGCAGAAACAAAAGCCATTATTCATCTGAGAGAGAGTCTACAAGTAGAAACTTTCTCTCAATAACTGGTGCACAAAGTTCTATATCTACATTTTAGGTGTGAACCAGAAAGAAGCCCATCGACACCACCTTCACATCATGAAAACTATCCATACATTTTTATTGTGGCTAAGCATAACAAGGGAGAAAGTCCTTCAGAGTACTGAGCCACAGGAAAAGAAGTACATATTCGCAGCCCAAGCTAAAATGCCGTGGGTGATCAGAAAAAAATATGCAAGTTAATAATTTAGTTAAAAGTAATACTAAACTAGTAGTGCATCCAGGCAATAAAAAATATAAATTAGAACCAAGTAAAGAAGGCAAAAGAAGCAAATAAGAAAAAAATACAAATCAACAGAAAATAGAAACAGGCAAGTAAAGTCTTCAGATATTTTAATTATCAGTACATTATTAAATAATGTATGCTTAAAATGTGTTAAAATATATTAAAAATGTATGTTTACTGTATCTAAAAGATATGAATTGAGCTTAAAAACATTGACAGGGAAAGAAATTAGTTTTAAAATGACCTCACATATTTGAGAAAAAAAGAAAAAGCAACTGAACATCTGTTTAAAAAAGAGACGATATGTAATTAAAATATACAGCTCTAACAATATATTTTTTAATAAGAGAAGGAGTTAAAACTTTCTAAGTTTCATGGATTGTCTAGGAGGATGATTAAGGTATTAATTAATTTTAGAATTTGGATCATTAAGTATATATGTTGAAATGCCTATAATGCTAAAAAAGATAAATAGTATACTTAATTTCCACAATAGTAAATAGAAAAAAAATTTCAAGGAAATGAGCAAATAGGCACATAATAGAAGAAATAGAAAGCAAAAATAATATCAATAATTTATTTTGTAGCTATGATGAAGACAGTGTATCATTGGTGGAATAATAGTCACTGGAATAATAAAACCAGTAAATGATAAAATCAATTATTTTAATATATTATAATTATAATATATTATACATATATTGTGATACATTGATATATTATAATAAAATCAATATATCACCTATGAATGGACCCTGGATATAAGACATAATTGGTCCTGTCAAATGTAGGCAAAAATGAAGAACAGAATAATTTATGATGGATAGTGTTGCTATGCTCATGAATTTTTCATACTCATTAAAAGCAAAAAATGAAATTGACCTATATATTAAATCTCAAAATAATTCAAGGTCAATCAGACTCAAATGTGACAAAAATGTGTATTTTTGAAAAAAATTTAAATTGGGATCAAAAAGAATTTCTAAAACTAGGCATAAACCAGTTTTCATAATCGAGGAGACTGATAATTTTGACTACTAGAAAATTAAAACCATTGTTTTCAGAAAATTCCACAAACAAACAGGGCAAAAAAACAAAGTATAAAGTCAGAGAATATGAATTTCCTACTTATTGGTAAAGCACAAAATATCTCTAAAAAATATAAATTTGTAATCAAAATGGCAAATAAACAATTAAAATTATAGTTGACTCCAATAGTAATAGATGAAAAGTAAATTTAAGGCACAATTATTAATAAAACTATCACACAACAAAACAGAAAGTCAAATACTTTAAAAAAAAACTTTCCAAATGATAACTTTCATATAGTGATAGGAGGTATATATATTGTTAGAATCACATTGGGAAAGATTTTGATATCATCTAGAGAATTTAAAAGTGCACAAATACTTTAACAGAGCAATTTTACATCTAGGTACATAACCTAGAGAAAATTCTTCACTTATATCTTCCAGAAGACATATTTAGTCATAACTGTAGCATAATATAATGGTATGTCATATAACAGTTCATATAAATAAATCAAAGCTACACACACACACACACACACACACACAAGTCATACAACAAACATAATTTTAAGAAAAAAAAAGTCACAAAAGATCAAAAACAGCCTGAACTAAAATATATCATTTAGAAGTTCGTATATCAGTAGTAGAACTATTAAAAAAAAAAATCAACAATGCCAACGCAGTAGATTCATTGGCAGAGGAAGGAAGAGGATGTGATTAGGCAGAGAACATAGGGAGTTACAAATGTCCTTTTCATGTCCTGGTTTTTGCTTTATGAACATATAGGCTTTATATACTCTATTGCATGTATACAAAAATAAATCCTTCTATTTTTAAAATTTCCTGCTCTATAAGATAAACTACACACTCCTAAACTTGTCAAATGAGGCCCTTCAAAATCTAACCTTATGCCACCTTTTAAATCTCATCTCTCAACTTTCTGTTAAAAGATTTCTGTTTCTAACATATAAGATAATCCAAAAACTTTCTCACTTTTCTGACTTTGACCTTCACCCTTATTCTGACTACCATTTCCCCCTTTAGTTTTTCATTAAATGAACAAAACCTTCATGGTAAAAACAAATATACACTATTATTCTTGTTTTCTCTGAAACTTCAAATCAAAATTAACTTTGCCTGTTTTCATGGTAGTTTTTATATTCTTCTATGATAACATTTATTGCATTATATTTATTTATCTCCTTACATGTCTGTCTTCAAGAGCAAGACATACTACTGACCTTGTATTCATGTTACAGTATTCTTTGTCTTCCTGAATCATATAGAATCGTGTGTTACTTTTTAGATTGATCAGCTTTGGAATTATCTTTCTGTTGAAATGTGAGTCCCTATATAAATTTTAAACCTCACTGATGGCTGCTTTGAAATTGTCTGAGTTGTGTATTCTTTTCTTTTTTTTTAATTGAGACCGAGTCTTGCTCTGTCACCAGGCTGGAGTGCAGTGGCCCGATCTTGGCTTACTGCAACCTCTGCCTCCTCGTTTCAAGTGATTCTCCTGCCTCAGCCTCCCAAGTAGCTAGGACTACAGGCATGTGCCACCACGCCCAGCTAATTTTTTGTATTTTTAGTAGAGACGGGGTTTCATCATGTTGGCCAGGATGATCTCGATCTCCTGACCTCATGATCCACCTGCCTCGGCCTCCCAAAGTGCTGGGATTACAGGTGTGAGCCACCACGCCTGGCCTGAGTTGTGTATTCTATTGTATGTCGATATCAGCATGTGTTCATGTGTCTTTGTGTGTAATATAGGGGTTCAAATGCAATAAATGTGTATGTTGTGCAGGTGCATTGCTGTTTATGTTCTTTTGAATGTGGGTAGGTAAAGAAAATTGTGCAGATAAAATTCAGTATGCTCAAGGTAGAACTTTCGTAGATCTAGCCTACTGAACTGGAGAATTATCAGTTTTGCACCAATTTGTTGGCTTCGCTGCTCATTGTAACTATTGTAAATGCTCTATTATACATAGACCTGAAACTGGGCATTATATTTTATTTTATCCACCCTTGAGAAGGGAAATTAAAAGGAAAATGAGAACTGTAATAACATTGGATTTCTTATTATGTTTATGGACCTAAAAACTTGTGGCAAATTCTATGAAAATTTTACCAGTCTATGATTACGTGAAAAATAAAAGTTAAATCAAAAAAGTGAAATTGATATGATACTTTGTATTAATTAATGTATTTATACTAGTAGAGGAAATTATCACATTAAAGACAAAAGTTCTGCTAAACAAACATATCGTTTTACATAATCTCTGCACAGATGTAACACATTAAATCATTACCTTTTAGAAAAATTTTGTTGAAATATTCTGCACTTATTTCTAAGGGGAAAAGCTGAATGCCTTTCAAAAAAATTGGTCTTACTCTAGTTTACTTCTGTTATTTTTTCATGTACAAAATTAACATTGCTATGGGCTGTGGGTGGTGGCTCATGCCTGTAGTCTTATTAATAACATTTTGGGAGGCATAAGCAGGTGGATAGCTTGAGCTGAGGAGCTCGACACCAACCTGGACAATATGGCAAAACCTCGTCTCTACAAAAAATACAAAAATTAGCCAGGTATGGTACCATGTGCCCGTAGTCTCTGCTACTAGGGAGGCTGAGGTGGGAGAATGGCTTGAGCCCAGGAGGCCAAGGCTGCGGTGAGCCATGATGGCACCACTGTACTCCAGCCTGAATTTCAGAATGAAACCCTGTCACTAAATAAATAAATAAATAAAAATCACTGCTATGAGTTTAAAAACATACAATTTTGGAATGCTAAGCAAAATTTAGTATCAAGTTGTAAAACATTTCACCTTATGTTTCCTAGATTCTTTCTGTGGTAACTGTACATGTTTTTCACCATTGATTATGAAACAAATCCCATCCTCCCCAAAACAACATCTGCTGAAACAGATTTGTCTGTAGAGAAGGTTTCCAGATCTGAATTGTACTGTTCAAACCATTGTCAGTATTCAACTAATAGCTACTTCCATTTTGGGGGCTGTATTTAAGCATTCATTCTTGATTCAAGTTGTCTTGTTCCAAATACAGAAGTTAATTTTTAGATATCCTGGCTAACTTTCAAGTCAAACTTATCATAGTCTACTGCCCAATTCTAGAATTCACCTCTGACCACTTAGGTCCTTTGTACTTAACATGACTTAGCAACTATAAAACTTATTTGCTCTTGTTCCTTCACATATCTTTCATATGCCAATTGACTATGAGCTCTCTTGAAATAAGTGACTATTTTATTCCTGATTATTTCCTCAATGTTTATCCTCCTGCCTGTGAAAAATGTTCAATAAAAGTTAAATGAATATATGAATTAATATTATGATGGAATAAGATGATTATAACCAGAAATATCAATGAGACTTGAGGATTGAAAACTTGCAGTAATTTATTTTAGGACCATGTCAACTAACTTTATTAATATGTTCATTTTTATCTCATGTTGTACAATGACCACAACAATATGAGAAAGGTGGCAAATGCCACTGCAAAAAAGGTTATGGTTTAATTTTATTTAGAGAAAATCTAATAGGTTATCTGAATAATCATATAAGTTATTAAATGTAACATAACCTTTATCGAATCATCTATTTTCTTTTAGTGAAAACGGCATATTTTTGGATAACTGTTTTATAACATGCTCATTTTTAGATAAAACTCTTTGTTCTTTTATTTCACGTGATATCAATGCATAAAAATATTGCAAACAGCTTGCATTTCTCTGTGCTCTGAAGTCAGCAATTTGAGCAGCAAATGGGAAATTACGTTTTGTATAGACTTCTGAAATTGTCTATGCTGAATAATACTTCTATTAGTTTGCAGGGGCTGCCACAGCAAAATACCACAGTCTGGGTGGCTTAAAAAACATTAGTTTATTTTCTCACAGTTCTTGGGGCTAGAAGTCTGAGATCAGGGTGTCAGCAGGTGTGACTTCTCCTGAAGCCTCTCTCTTTAGCTTGCACATGGCTGCCTTCTTGCTGTGTTCTCCCATGGCTTTTTCTCGTGTGCGTTTCTCTGTGGTTCCTCTCTCTGCCCTAATTTCCTTTTCTTATACAGACACTAGTTAGACTGGATTAGGACCCACACTAACGGCTTAATTTTTACTTTATCTCCTCTTTTAAGGGTCTGTCTCCAAATACAGTCACATACATTCTGAGGAACTGAGGGTAGGGCTTCAACATATGAATTTTGGGGTAAGGAGGTTGTACATAAACATATAAATATAAACATTTGAGTAAAATAGACACAGTTGCCTTTAAACTAGATTTTATTTCAGTATGCGAAATGTAAATATAAGTATGTTTTTAAGATTATTCTAAAATTTCCTATAGTCCTAAATATATATATATATGTATGTATATATATATACACACACACACATATATAAACTCATGTACTACAGAGCAATTATGGACCGCATGTACAACAGTGGCTTAAACTGTACTTTTTCTATGTTTGGATATGTTTAGATACACAAACGTTGTACTATATTTGCCGTTTCATTGTATTACAATTGCTTACAGTATTCAGCATTCAGCAACAGGTTTGTAGCCTAGGAGCCATAGGCTATACCATATAGCTTCAGTGTGTAGTAGGCTATACCATGTAGGTTTGTGTCAGTACATTCTATGATGTTTGCACAAGATGAAATTGCATAACAATGCATTTCTGAGAACATATCCCATCCTTAAGCAATGCATGATTGTATATACATACATAGGTATATATGTACGATTAATAGCATATGCAATCACTAGTGATTATTTACAAATTGAACATTTTCTTGAATTTAAAAATCAAATGTTTAACTATATAATTATAATTTATAATTAATCCTTTTTCATCCTTTTCAGTAATTAACAAGGCAGAAAAAGAATAAGATAATTATTATAATAACATCTATGTCTGCTTTTAAAGCATGTTGAATTCTATTTAAATATATTTCTAAAACTGATATGTCATAGTGTCATCCACCTTAGAATGATATATTTCTAAGATTCCCTAAAATAATTTCTACTAATGTCTCTTCAATGTATAAGAAAAAGATAAAATTTCTTTCAAAAACTGTGTCTGAACAGTAAATGTACTTCTAGAATTCATAAGAAATTTTGACTCATTTCAATCCATACAAATTGATTGAATATGAAGTTAATGGGCACCAAGAAATGACAAGTCAGTATAACTTTACAGTAGATGGAAAAGTTTCTTACCTCTGCTCCTAGATGCAGAAACTTTTTTTTTTCTCTATCTCTCATCTGCTTCTCTTCCCCACTCCATCTTCCTCTCCCTTTCTCTGTCTTTCTGCATGCAGTCAGTGACTGAAGCTCCTAGAAAATGCCTTGATGGGCCTGGCATGGTGACTCACGCATATAATCCCAGCACTTTGGGAGTCCGAGGTGGCCAGACTACCTGAGGTCGGGAGTTCAAGACCAGTCTGACCAACAAGGAGAAACCCCGTCTCTACTAAAAATACAAAATTAGCCGGTTGTGGTGTCGCATAATCCCAGCTACTCGGGAGGCTGAGGCAGGAGAATCACTTGAACCTGGGAAGCGGAGGTTGCAGTGAGCCCAGATCACGCCATTGCACTCCAGCCTGGGTGACAACAGGGAAACTCCATCTCAAAAAGAAAAAAGAAAAATGAAAAGAAAATGCCTTAATGGCAACAGGAAAAGCCAACTACCACACAAGTGTGAAGACAAGAAAAATAGTAGAACCAGTCTATGCTTAGGTACTGGATATTTTACTTGTTTTTATTATTTGTAGTAAAATGTGTTCAACTCCTTTGAAATCACCTTGTGTTTTGCTTTTCTCCTTTTCTATTTTTATTTTTCTTTCTTTCTCTTTATCTGCATTGGAACAGTCAATAACTTCGTGCTGGGGATTGTAAGGATCGGTGATTTTACTTAGTAAGTAAAGCAAATACTTTTTTCTCAAATAGATGAAATGCAGGGAATTAGAAGAGTGTCTTTTTTGCCTTTATAGTTGGATGTACCAATTTCATATTCTTAAAGATTGTTTTACATTCTGGGCTTTCAAAAAGCATGAGTTGTGTGGCAAAGAATAAATAATTTTTCTATTCCTGAAGGTTAACTAATTATTTATTAGAAAGTCAGAAACATGTAGGCAAGGGAATATTTGAGAAAGTGATATGAAACTAATAATAAGTGGTATAAAGTTAATAAAGTTTATATTAGAGTTTACTTTGAGCTAATCCTGTATTTATTTGTTTGTTTCCTTAAGACAGAGTCTCACTCTGCTGCCCAGGCTGGAGGGCAATGGCGCAATCTTGGCATCTTGGCTCACTGCAACCACTGCCTCCCAGATTCAAGTGATTCTCCTGCCTCGGCCTCCTGAGTAGCTGGGACTACAGGTGTCTGCCATCATGCCCTGCTAATTTTTGTATTTTTTTTTTTTTTTTTTTAGTAGAGATGGGGTTTCACCACGTTGGCCAGGCTGGTCTTGAGCTCCTGACCTCAGGTGATCCACCTGCCTCAGCCTATCAGTGTATCGTGAGATGCTATACTGCTATTGTCAGAAGTAATTAATTCCAACACATTCTTTTCTTCGTTTTCTCTTTTTTTTTTGTTTGTTTGTTTGAGACGGAGTCTCACTCTGTAGCCCAGGCTGGAGTGCAGTGGTGCGATCTCGGCTCACTGCAAGCTCCACCTCCCAGGTTCACGCCATTCTCCTGCTTCAGCCTCCCAAGTAGCTGGGACTATGGGCACCCGCCACCACGTCTGGCTAATTTTTTTTGTATCTTTAGTAGAGACGGGGTTTCACCGTGTTAGCCAGGATGGTCTCAATCTCCTGACCTTGTCATCCACCCACCTCGGCCTCCCAAAGTGCTGGGATTACAAGCGTGAGCCACCGTGCCCAGCCAAGAAGTTCTTGTAAGACCTAAACACACAATAGATATCAACAATATTAGTTAAAACTCTTCAAGTAAGTGAATCCATTGTTTATCATATTATATTAAAACACTTATAAATGTGGTCGGTCGTTTTTGTACTAATTGTCCTAAAGTGCCCTAGGCATTTTGCTAATAAAATTTGTAGCTTGTTTGATATGTTTGGGCATAGAGTAAGTGAAATTATTTTCTCCACACTTAAGTGCATGAAGTAACACTTAAGATGATATATTAGGATATCAATTTATAATGCCCCTTATACAAAATTACAGCTGTTTACAGTAAATATTTCCATTTTTATAGTTTTTTCTTACTAAATGATTGAAAGTCAATATGCAAGCCCATATGAGAAAGTTAGCTCACAACTTAAATTGAAGAAATATATCCAAGGATTAAAAATCAAATATGTTCACCAGATTCTAATACATTAGATTTGTCCTTAAGTATTATTAAAACTTTTTAGAGTATATTAAGTAAAAGTATTATTCCTTACAATTTATTTTCATGCCTATGACAGGTTATTCCGACATGTGTCAATAAGTACTAATAATATACTTTAAACTTCGTACTTTATGAGTTCAGTACAAATCTTTTCAATAAAATATACTTTATAATTCAGACCTGTCATATACAGAGTAAAATTTTAATAGAAGCTAGAATATTTGTGGTTATGTTTATAATATTTTATGTGTTTATACACTGCATTTTCTCACTTTTTCATAGGATCTGAAAATCATATCAATTGAGCTCATGGACATAGACAGTAGGCTGGTTACCACAGTCCAGGAAGGGTAGTTGGGGGTTGTGGGGGAGGTGGGATGGTTAATGGGTACAAAAAAATTAGAAAGAATGAATAGACCTACTACTTAATAGCACAATAGGGTGACTATAGTCAATAATAATTATACATTTTTAAATAACTTAAATAATGTAATTGGATTATTTGTAACTCAAAGGATAAATGCTTGAGGGGATGGATACCCTTTCTCCATGATGTACTTATTTCACATCGCATGCCTATATCAAAACATCTTTTGTACCCCATAAATATATACACCTACTATGTACCCACAAAAATGTTTACAAATACAAAAATTTTTTTTAAAGAAAAGATAACCTTGTGATGGTAAAAATAAAAATAAAAAATGTTGTTTACTATGACTTATGACATGTTAAGGCATGAATCCAGAAACAAAAACAAAAACAAAAAGAGCTTATTTTCTTATTTACATTACGTTTTTTCTCAGCATTAACAGGAAATGTTTTAACTACTATAAGTAATTTATTTAAGAAGGCTAATATTCTATATTCTAAAACAAATAGAATAAGATTATTTCCTAAATTATGTTGTCACACACTGAGTATTCATGGGCATAAACAAGGGAACAATAGACACCAGGGCCTACTTGAGGGTGGATGGTGGAGGAGGGTGAGGATTAAAAAAACTCTCAGGTACTATGCTTATTACCTGGGTGACAAAATAATTGGTATACGAAACCCTCAAGACATTCAGTTTACCTATATAACAAAACTGCACAGGTACTCCTGAACCTAAATAAAAGTTAAAAACATAAACTAATAAATATATTATCATAGTTAGTTAAAAACTAGTGAATGTCATAAAATAAATAGTTGATAGTTATATATTAGATACTAATTATGTAAACAGCAGTCTTAGACATGCATTTTTCTAAACTGCCAGAAATATGTAAAAATTTAACAATATGCACAGTAGTGAATTTCTATACCCATTCCTTCATTCATTTATTCATTCCTCTTTCATCAATTTCTTAGTGAGTGTCAATAATGAGATGCACAGTTGTGTAATGAAAAGAACATTTATTCAAAGTCAGGCATATGTTTTCAATTTGAACTTCAGTGTGATTATCTGTATACATGAAAAATACGACAGCTCACACTTAGCTTTAGAGACGAAATGGGTTATATAAAAGGATTTAGTAGAGTGCAAGGCATGTGGAAGGCATCTGTGGGAATTTAATCTTTAATCATTATTATTTGTGTGTGCAAAGTCCCATTATTGTCTCTGGTCTAGTGTGCTTGCTTTTACATGTATACTATATACAGAAAATGTCTTAATGTTGATACCTAGATTCCTGTGGTAATATAATTAAAGTTACAGGCACTGAACTTGGTTTAATTAGTTATATGAACTACCTTAAAGAAGCTACTATTCAATTTAGAAAAAGCAGCATTTGCCATTGAAGCTGTTAATATGCTTAGTTATTCTACGGTAACTTGCTTCAGACTAGTCAGGTAAGTGTTGGGATTTATAAGTTTCATGTTTGGAGACTGTAGGAATTCATACCACTGTGAGGAGTAAGATTCCTGTAACTCTAGACTGGATAGGGACTAATGAATCTTTTCATTCATTTATGAAAGTTCATGGTTTCTAATGCTGCATTAATTCAGCAAATATTTACATCATTAGAGAATATACTTTGTGTATTATCTAAAGCTAGTTTATTTAAACTTTAATATTTAGAGGACTGAAATTATGTTTTACTTCATTTATGGTGATTACATACATAAACCAGAAAGCCATGATGCTAAAAGGAAGAAATTAAAGCTAACCTTCATCTACTTTGAAATGTACAATGAAAATATTTTGGAGAACAGAGAGCTTTCTCTCCTTATTAATCTTTCAAAACTGAGCAGTATCCAAATCTATTAAATGATTTGTATTATATCTCTCTTAAAATATTAGTCCATCATTTTATGCCTATGACAGTTGATTCAATCACCTGGTCAACGCAATCATTTTATTTTATGTCTGCTGTAGCTTTTAAGAGTGGAAAGGTTCTGGTATTATTTGTGGAAAGGCAGTTTGGAGGAATAAATATCAAACTGTTGCTTTTACAGGATCAATGTTCTTTATAATTGCTACTGGCATTAACAGTCATCTCTGAAACTACTAGAAAACCGGCTGATGGATTGGTATGCAGAACAATCAAAAGAGCCACTGGAGATAATGACATTCTTTATTGGGAATTGCCTGAAGAAGATTTCCCTTTTAGCAAGACGACTACCATATAGGGTTAGAAAGTGTAGAAAGGGTTTTCCTTTCCTTTTTGGCCTAAGGCAAAACTATAAGCTCAAATGGGCTTTGTCCTTTGCAAGATGTTTGCTTTCTTCAGCAATTCTTAGTTTAATGGGCATAACAAGAAGAACAGGATTCTATTGCATGAAACAGCAGGTCAGCATTTGCTCCTGCTTTGACTGCTGTTGAAAAAAATCAAATTTTCTTGCACACAACAGTTAAAATATTTCCTTTTACCAAGTATGATATTTGGTGTTTTACAAGGCTTATAACAAGTAACAGGATTAGAATTTTTTCTTTTTTAGCACACACTGTCTTCAATTCCCTTTCACACATTCATGTGAGTGTAATGCGACAGTATAAATCAATCAATGTTTTTATAACTATGCTACATGAACCTAAATGACTCCTGGCTTTATCTCTTTTTTACATCATTTGTATTTTTTGGTAGGCATTTCATTTAGTTTTTGGCCTAATTTGATGAAAAATTATGTCAATAAAATATAAGAATTACACAAATCGCAAACTCCAAAATTTTACCAAGCCACACATTGCTTAGAATTTCTTATCACTCCAAATGGAAATTTGTTCCCTTCATCTCTTCTTTTCTATACCTATTGCCTATTGATGATCTATTGCCTGAGATGTCTTCAAATCTATACTATTGTATCACTCTTCTTGTCTTCCAACAGGTGAATCAGGGTTTGTGATGATAAAACTGACCTTGATTTGAGTGAAAAAAAAAAAAGACAATAACCCAATGCTATATAGCTCAATGCTATTATCAGTTCTGAATCAATTCCTTTTTTTTTCCTGCACACACACATACATTCACACAAGACCCCAGCTAGTACTCTATGACAATGCTACCCTATGTAAATATAAGACACAAATGAGAGCCACATATTTAATTTTAAAATGTTTACTAGCCAAATTAGAAAAAAAAACAAACAGAAATAAGTAAAATTAATTTTAAGATTATATTATTGAAACCAATAGATGCAAAACATTATCATTTCAAAATGTAATTAATATGGAAATATTAAAGTGATATTTTTACATTATTTTTCCATACTGAATCTTCAAAATGTAATGTGTATTTTATACTTTAATTATTGCTGGGGCATATATGTGGGAAGTGGAGAGCTGGCAAGACTGACTTCGCTTGAGGATGTCTGATGAGCAGGCAACTTTGGCCCTGCCCATTTTCTGAGTATAATTGTTCTGCATACCTATAAATTCTATAAACTATCTGCTGCCCATTCAATAAATTATTTTTTCTTTAGTTTTTTTTTTTAGTTTTATTTACAGGTGCTTTGCAACCAAGAACCCTGATTAATATAAATTTGTATCTCTTTCCCCAGCTCCTTTTCCTCTGCATACATTTAAACCATCCTTAATAAGCAAAATCATTATTAGTTTGTTCTAAATAAATTGCACTCAGCCATGCTTATCAAATTAACAGCCTAATTAACTGGATATACTGCTGTAAGTTTAATATATGAATTGAGCTGTAATGGAATGTTTAAGGCTCTATTTTTAACCTTAGTACTTCTCAATCTTCTTTTCTCTCCCAAGCAAAATTCTTTTGATATTACCACATAAGTATTGCTCTTTCCAGTCTCTTATTTCTTTTATATTACTTTGACTTAATTTTTCATGTGCATAATGGCAAAAAGATACAATGAATCTCCCTTTTCAAAGACATTCTTTATATAGTGTTGGTAATGATCTTGCAAATAGAAAGCTATTTCTGGATATACCTTGTTCAAAACTATTTAAAGCCAATTTTCCCCCTGCAACTCCCACAAATTTTAGGATAATTTACAAGATCTTTATATTGCTTTTCAAAATTAGAACGCCTGCATTCATATCTAGAATCATTTCCAGGTGACCCTCATTTTAAAAATGGCAGCATAGGACCCTTTTGACATGACAGTATAAGACACGTTCTTCACACACTTACTGCTGAGTTAGACATTCCTTTAAAATATTTCCACAATACCTATATCTCAGCATTTCAGAATTTATTATAATGTATTATAATCCTTCATTCATTTTATGTTTCTATCCTGTATACTCTAAAATTTCCGTAGAACAGACAATAAATATTTATTGAATAAATGGAAACAAATAGGCACATCATCAATATAACGGAATTTAATAAAAATATATGTATTTGTTTTAAACTTGTTACTGATAATTGTTCAGCTCTAAGGTAATTTGTTGTGGGAAAAAAACTTGCAACTTTGATATTGAACCTACATTAGAATACTTGTTTTGCCACTGAGGAGCTGTGTAACTTCAGTGAAGTTATGTAACATATCTGAGGCTGAATTCCTTTTATTCTATAATGGAGGTAAGAATACCTGTTATGCAGTTCTGATGTCAGCAAGAGGGGTGATTAGAAAGTCCTAGAGCTTGCTCTCCATCACTAAAGTCAGCCAAAACAACAAATATCCAACTACTTTTTGACAAAAATAAAGGAGAGCACCAGAGTATATCAAAGGAGTAACAAAAATTTATGAACACAGAAACTCAGGATGGCCACAGAAAGAATGAAAGGAAACACCTGGCCTCCACCACCACATCTCTCAGCCAGGCTCAGCTGGGAACTAGGAAGAACTTTTTCCTGCTGGGGAAAAGGTAAGCAAGAAGATTCCAGCAGCTCCCCCTCAATATCTTAGACACCTATAGTCCTCACCTCTGGGGTCCCCTGCAGTCCTCATAGGCACTAAGCCCAGCTAAGGGAACTGCCTGGTACACAGTTTGTGTGAGCCGGGGAGAAAGAGTAAACTTGTATCCTGCCACCAGTGGCCCTCATGGCTACTGCACTACACTATCTTGGAACTGGCACTACTGTTGGTGTGTGTTTTGCTTCAAGGGTGAGTGGCTACTGTGCCTTTTCATTTCTGAGGCTAAGCTGTCAGTGAACCATGCCTGCCCAGTAGTTCAACGTCGCCAATCCAAGTTTCAAGAAGCTATGGCACTTTTCTGTGTGGGGCTAAGTGGCAGTGGAACCTCTCCACTTACCCCTAACAGTTGTGACTGTGGTCTGCCTCTTAGCACCCAAGCTGAAGCTGCACACTTCCTTCAGGGAAAACAGTGCCTCAGTGGAACTGCTCCATCTACCCTTCCCAGTCACTGCTGCACCCTGTTTTTAAGGCCTTGAGCTGGATCTGTGAGCTGCCTCTCAAAAGAAATGGCTATTTGGCAGAGTGACTGCAAAAAAACATTTCCAGTTGCTGTGTAATCCTGCCCCATGGACTGCGAGCTGAAGCCACACACTACCTGCCAGGGAAATGGTGCTTTGATAGAGCTATTCCATAGGCCTCTCCCATTTGCTGCTGTCCCCTGTCCCCTGTGTTGGAGCTGAAGCAGTGCCAGACATCCAGGGAAGCAGTGCTTTGGATGCCCAGAGCAGTCACACACCACATTGCCTTAGCTATGTGGCACCATGCATCCCAGGGAAATGGTGTTTGGGCTTCCAAGAATAATCACGCTGCTTGGGCCTGAGCTGAAGAGGCACATTGGCCCCAGTGCCTTGGCTGAGCTGAGAAGCTGCACATTCAACGGCTAAGCTGATGTAGTATCACACATCCCAGAGAAACAGAGCAGTGGCTAAGCTGAGAAATACTGGCCTCTAGGCCAAACTATGCTAGTATTCCACTTCATTGAAGCTGGTTTAGCCTCCTAGAGTCTGAGCTGCTGAGACATGTCTCTTTCTAGGGAGTGGAGTCAAGTTGTGTTGCTGCCTACACTCGGGGCGCACATATGCAAGCTGTGTACTATCATTTTAGGGTTTTGCTGCCACTGCACCTGGCCTAACGAGTGTCTAGAATACTGCCAATTTCTGCCATCTAAGGGTCTAGAGTCACCACTATACAGTGCCTCATTTCCTGGGACCCAAATTGTCACTGAGTCCTATTGGCTTTCGTTCATAATTTGCAGCAATATTCTGCTCACCAGGTCCAAACCTTCAGAAGACATCTTTCCTGGAGTCAAGCCAAGACTGCCCTGTCCTCTACAGTCAGAATTACAACCACAACCTGGCCCTCTGTGCCTGAGCTGCTAGGGGATGTTTCTGAGTCACAGATCCTGGCTGTTTGGGCAATCTACAGTAAACCCTGCACAGAGAGTGAAACTTCACCCAAGACTCAGGTACCAAAATGGGTTCATAAGATCCTAAGCCTAAGACTCTAGCTCCACAATCACTATGAGCACATGCACCTGGAACCCATTACCACTACAGCTACTTATAGGCCACGTTGGACCTAACACAGAAGGGATCCTCTTTGCTGAGTCTCCTCATTTTGGAGAAAACAAAAATAAGAGTACCCCCAAATCCCTTGCTTCCAAGAACTTTAACTACCTATATTCTCATTGCCACTACCACACATTTCTATAGCCTAAGTCACTGAGATAGCCACAGTTATTGCTGACTTGATCA
The DNA here is from genome assembly GCF_000001405.40 of Homo sapiens. NCBI lineage: Eukaryota > Metazoa > Chordata > Mammalia > Primates > Hominidae > Homo > Homo sapiens. The sequence continues at coordinate 132,939,540 of NC_000004.12, forward strand.
CAGCTGAAGAAGCTGCATGGAGACTATATCACTGTATCTACTCATTACCAGAGTCACCATACCCATCTCAACCAGAACAACCCAACTTCAGGTGAAAGTCTTTCTCTATGAAAGCCACTTGTAATGTTTAAAATAATCAATTGCTGAACAAGATATACAGACAAAATGCAGGGACAAAAGAAACATGATAAAGTAAGGATATGTGAGATTGTCAAAGGAACACAATAACTCTTCAATAACTCTAGGCTTTTAGAAGCAGCTGGGCTACCCTCCAAAGAAAAAGAAGTCTAGAATTCCCAGAAAAGACATTCAAAATAATGACCTTAAGGAAGCTCAGTGAGATACAGCAGACTACAGATAGACAATTCAAAGGAATCGGGAAAACAGTTTGAAATATAAAAAAGAAATTTTATAAAGAGATAGATATCATAAAACAGAACCAAATTAGAAATTCTACAGCTGAAGAAATCAATGAATGAAATAAAACATACATCAGGCACCTTAATACCAGACTAGATCAAGCAGAGGTAATAATCTCTGAACTTGAAGACAGGTCATTTGAAATTACCCAGTCATAGAAAAAATAAAAATATAAATATAAAAAGTGAAGGAAGCATATAGGACTTATGGGACATCTTTTTAAAAATGCATATATTTGCATTATGGCATTAACAGGAGAAGAAGAGATGGGAAAAGGCATCAGAAATCTATTTAATGAAATGATGGCTAAAAAATTCCCATCTTGGGAAAATTGTGGACACCAGATTCAGAAATCTCAAAAGCTTCAAATATATTCAATCCAAAAAAATTTTCTCTAGGGCACAAGAGAGTGAAAATTTCAAAAATCAAACACAAAGAAGAAATTCTAAAAACACCAAGAGAAAAGCATCAAGTTACATATGAAGGAAGCCCCACTGGACTAATAGCAGATTTCTCAGCAGGAACTCTTACAGGCAAGAGATAATGGGATCACACATTCAAAGTGCCAAAAGAAAAAATATTATCAACCAAGAATACTATATCTAGCAAAACTATCCTTCTGAAATGAAAGAGAAAATAAAGTTTTTCCCACACAAACAAAAGTTGATGGAATTTATAACCATTAGACAAGTCTTAAGAGAAAGTTGCTAGACAGTCCTAAATACGGAAGCAAAAGGACTATAATGATCATCATGAAAACATGCAAAAATAGAAAACTCACTGGTGGAGTAGATACACAGAGGACAAAGAGAGAGGAATAAAAACTTATCACCACAGAAAACCAATCCATATTGATAAATAATAAGAGAGAAAGAAAGTAACAAAGGATATATACCCACAACAACCAGAAAACAATTAATGAAATGACAGGAGTAAGTCCTCATGTATTATTAGCAATAACCTTGAATAATAATGGATTAAATTCTCCAACTGAAAACCATAGACTGGCTGAATGGATAAGCAAATAGGACCTAACTATATGCTACCTACAAGAAATAAACTTTGTCTGTAAAGACACAAACAGAGTGAATGTGATAGAATATAAAAAGGTATCCCACACAAACATAAATAAGAAGCAAGCAGGAGTAGCTGTACTAACATAAATTAAACCAGACTTTAGATCAAAACTGAAGAAGAGACAAAAAGGTTACTCACTATATACTGATAAAAGAATCAATTCATCAGGAAGATATAACAATTATAAATACAAATACACCCAACACCAGAACACCCACATATATAAAGCAAATATTATTTCATATAATTGGAGAGATAAACTCCAATACGATAATAGTGATTTTAACACCCCACTCTCAGCAATGGCTAAATTATCTAGAAAGAAAATAAAAATAAAAATAAATCAAGGCCAGGCACAGTGGCTCATGCCTGTAATTCTAGCACTTTGGGAGGCCAAGTGGATCACTTCAGGTCAGGAGTTCAAGACCAGCTTGGCCAACGTGGTGAAACCCCATCTCTACATCTCTACTAAAAATACAAAAATTAACCAGGTGTGGTGGCACGTGCCTATAATCCCAGCTACTATGGAGGCTGAGGCAGGAGATTTGCTTGAATCTGGGAGACAGAGATTGCGGCAAGCAAAGATCATACCATGGCACTCCAGCCTGAGCTACAGAGCAAGACTCCATCTCAAAAAAAAAATAAAAATAAAAATAAATAAATAAATAAATAAAAATTAAAAAAAATCACTGGATTTAAACTGTACTTTCAACCTAATAGATCTAACAGACATTTACAGAACATTTTATCCAGCAACAGAACACAACACATTCTTCACATTGAGGCATGGAACCTTCTTCAGGACATACCATATGCTAGGCCACAAAAAAAAGCTTCAAGAAATTTTTAGAAATCAAAATATTATCAAGTATCTTTTTCTCACCACAGTGAAATAAAACTAGAAATTAATAATAAAAAGGAACATTCAAAAATGTGCAAGTGCATGAAAATTAAATGTGTCCCTGAATAATAAATGACAAATAAAGAATTAAGAATTATTTCTTACTCTAAACATATTAGCCCACTCTCACATTGCTGTAAAGAACTGCAACTGGGTAATTTATGGAGAAAAGAGGTTTAATTGACCCACATTTCTTCAGGCTGTACAGGAAGCATGATTGGGGAGGCCTCAGGAAACTTACAATCAAAGCAGAAGGGCAAAGAGGAAGCAATCACCTTATTCACATGGCAGAGCAGAAGAGAGAGAAAGGGGGGGAGGTTCTACAAACTTTCAAATGACCAAATGTAACTCTATCATGAGATGGCACTAGAGGGATGGTGTAAAACCATTAGAAACCACCCCCCATGATTCAATCACATCCCACCAGGCTCCAACTCCAACACTCAGAATCACAATTCAACATGAGATCTGGGTGGAGACACAGTGCCAAACCATATTATTCCACCCCTGGCCCCTCCTGTTCTCACATTTCAAAACACAATCATGCCTTCCCAACAGTCCCTGAAAGTCTTAACTCATTCCAGTATTAACTCAAAAGTCTAAGTTTAAAGTCTCACCTGAGACAAAGCAAGTCCCTTCTGCCTATGAGTGTGTAAAATCAAAAACAAGTTAAATACTACCAAGATACAATGGGGATACAGGCATTAGGTAAATGTTCCCATTCCAAAAGGGAGAAATTGGCCAAAAGAAAGGAGCTACAGGCCTCATGCAAGTTCAAAACCCAGCAGGGCAGTTATTAAATCTCAAAGCTCCAAAATAACTTCTTTTGACTCCATGTCTTGCATCTAGGCCACACTGAGGCAAGGGATGAGCCTCCACAGCCTTGGGCAGGGTGGCCCTGAGGCTCTTCAGGGTACAGCCTCTGTGACTGCTTTTAAAGGCTGACATTGAGTGCTATGAATTTTCCAGGACCATGGTGCAAGCTGTCAGTGGATCTACAATTCTGGGGTCTAGAGGAGGGTGGCTCTCTCCTTACTGCTCCATTAGGTTAGTGCCCCAGTGGGGATTTTGCATGGGGGCTCCAAGTCCACATTTCCCCTCTGCACTGCCCTGGTGAAGGTTCTCCATGAGGGCTCCACCCCTGCAGCAGACTTCTGCCTAGGCACCCAGCCATTTCTATACCTTATCTGAAATCTAGGAGGAGGCTCTCAAACCTCAACTCTTGCCTTCTGTGCACCCACAGGCCCAACACCACATGGAAGCCAGCAAGGCTTGGGGCTTGCATCCTCTGAAACAATGGCCCAAGCTGTACCTTGAACCCTTTTAGCCACAGCTGGAGCCGGAGCAGCTGGGACACAGAGCACCATGTCTCAAGGCTGCTCAGAGCAGTGAGGCCCTGTGCTTAGCCCAGGAAACCATTTTTCCCTCCTAGACCTCCAGGCTGATGATGGGAGGGGCTGCTGTGAAGACCTCTGACGTACCCTGGAGACATTTTTCCTATTGTGTAGGCTATTAACATTCATCTCTTCTTTACTTATGCAAATTTCTGCAGCCTTGAATTCCTCTCCAGAAAATGGGTTTTTCTTTTCTGCGTAGTTGGGCAGCAAATTTTCCAAACGTTTATGCTCTACTTCTCTTTTAAATATAAGTTCTCGTTTCAGCTCAATTATTTGGTTATGCAAATGATTGTAGGCTTTTAGAAGCAGCTGGGCTACCTCTTGAACTCTTTTGCTGCTCAGAAATCTCTTCTACCAGGTACCCTAAATCATCTCTCTCAAGTTCAAAGTTCTACACATCTCTAGAGCAGTGGCACAATGGCACCAGTCTCTTTGCTAAAGCCTAGCAAGAGTGACCTTTACTCCCTTTACTGCAGTTCCCAATAAGTTCCTCATCTCCACCTGACCACCTCAGCTTGGACTTCACTGTGTATGTCACTATCAGCATTTCAATCACAACCATTCAATAAGTCTCTAGGAAGGCGGGTTTTTTTTCTTTTTCTTTCTTATTTATTTATTTATTTTTTTGAGACAGAGTCTCACTCTGTCACCCAGGCTGGAGTGCAGTGGCACAATCTTGGCTCACAGCGATTCTCATACCTCAGCCTCCCAAGTAGCGAGGATTAAGGCATGCGTCACCAGGCCCAGCTAATTTCCATGTTTTTAGTAGAGACGGGGTTTTGCCATGTTGACCAGGCTGGTCTTGAACTACTGACCTCAAGGGATCCATCCCCCTTGGCCTCCCAAAGTACTGGGATTACAGGCATGAGCCACCACACTCAGCCTCTAGGAAGTTTCAAACTTTCCCTCATCTTTCTGTCTGCCTCTCATCCCTCCAAACTGTCCCAACCTCTGCCCATTATTCAGATCCAAAATCACTTTCACAGTTCAGGTATCTTTATAGAAATGCCACTCTACTCTGGTACCAATTTTCTGTATTAGTCCATTCTCATACTGCTATAAAGACATACCAGAGGAGGAGGAGCCAAGATGGCCGAATAGGAACAGCTCCGGTCTACAGCTCCCAGCGTGAGCGACGCAGAAGACGGGTGATTTCTGCATTTCCATCTGAGGTACCGGGTTCATCTCACTAGGGAGTGCCAGACAGTGGGCGCAGGCCAGTGGGTGCGCGCACCGGGCGCGAGCCGAAGCAGGGCGAGGCATTGCCTCACCTGGGAAGCGCAAGGGGTCAGGGAGTTCCCTTTCCAAGTCAAAGAAAGGGGTGACGGACGCACCTGGAAAATCGGGTCACTCCCACCTGAATATTGCGCTTTTCAGACCGGCTTAAAAAACGGCGCACCACGAGATTATATCCCTCACCTGGCTTGGAGGGTCCTACCCCACAGAATCTCGCTGATTGCTAGCACAGCAGTCTGAGATCAAACTGCAAGGCGGCAGCGAGGCTGGGGGAGGGGCGCCCGCCATTGCCCAGGCTTGCTTAGGTAAACAAAGCAGCCGGGAAGCTCCAACTGGGTGGAGCCCACCACAGCTCAAGGAGGCCTGCCTGCCTCTGTAGGCTCCACCTCTGGGGGCAGGGCACAGACAAACAAAAAGACAGCAGAAACCTCTGCAGACTTAAATGTCCCTGTCGGACAGCTTTGAAGAGAGCAGTGGTTCTCCCAGCACACAGCTGGAGATCTGAGAACGGGCAGACTGCCTCCTCAAGTGGGTCCCTGACCCCTGACCCCCGAGCAGCCTAACTGGGAGGCACCCCCCAGCAGGGGCACACTGACACCTCACACGGCAGGGTATTCCAACAGACCTGCAGCTGAGGGTCCTGTCTGTTAGAAGGAAAACTAACAAACAGAAAGGACATCCACACCAAAAACCCATCTGTACATCACCATCATCAAGACCAAAAGTAGATAAAACCACAAAGATGGGGAAAAAACAGAACAGAAAAACTGGAAACTCTAAAACGCAGAGCGCCTCTCCTCCTCCAAAGGAACGCAGTTCCTCACCAGCAACGGAACAAAGCTGGATGGAGAATGACTTTGACGAGCTGAGAGAAGAAGGCTTCAGACGATCAAATTACTCTGAGCTACGGGAGGACATTCAAACCAAAGGCAAAGAAGTTGAAAACTTTGAAAAAAATTTAGAAGAATGTATAACTAGAATAACCAATACAGAGAAGTGCTTAAAGGAGCTGATGGAGCTGAAAACCAAGGCTCGAGAACTACGTGAAGAATGCAGAAGCCTCAGGAGCCAATGCGATCAACTGGAAGAAAGGGTATCAGCAATGGAAGATGAAATGAATGAAATGAAGTGAGAAGGGAAGGTTAGAGAAAAAGAATAAAAAGAAATGAGCAAAGCCTCCAAGAAATATGGGACTATGTGAAAAGACCAAATCTACGTCTGATTGGTGTACCTGAAAGTGATGCGGAGAATGGAACCAAGTTGGAAAACACTCTACAGGATATTATCCAGGAGAACTTCCCCAATCTAGCAAGGCAGGCCAACGTTCAGATTCAGGAAATACAGAGAACGCCACAAAGATACTCCTTGAGAAGAGCAACTCCAAGACACATAATTGTCAGATTCACCAAAGTTGAAATGAAGGAAAAAATGTTAAGGGCAGCCAGAGAGAAAGGTCGGGTTACCCTCAAAGGGAAGCCCATCACACTAACAGCGGATCTCTCAGCAGAAACCCTACAAGCCAGAAGAGAGTGGGGGCCAATATTCAACATTCTTAAAGAAAAGAATTTTCAACCCAGAATTTCATATCCAGCCAAACTAAGCTTCATAAGTGAAGGAGAAATAAAATACTTTACAGACAAGCAAATGCTGAGAAATTTTGTCACCACCAGGCCTGCCCTAAAAGAGCTCCTGAAGGAAGCGCTAAACATGGAAAGGAACAACCGGTACCAGCCGCTGCAAAATCATGCCAAAATGTAAAGACCATCGAGACTAGGAAGAAACTGCATCAACTAACGAGCAAAATCACCAGCTAACATCATAATGACAGGATCAAATTCACACATAACAATATTAACTTTAAATGTAAATGGACTAAATGCTCCAATTAAAAGACACAGACTGGCAAGTTGGATAAAGAGTCAAGACCCATCAGTGTGCTGTATTCAGGAAACCCATCTCACGTGCGGAGACACACATAGGCTCAAAATAAAAGGATGAAGGAAGATCTACCAAGCAAATGGAAAACAAAAAAAGGCAGGGGTTGCAATCCTAGTCTCTGATAAAACAGACTTCAAACCAACAAAGATCAAAAGAGACAAAGAAGGCCATTACATAATGGTAAAGGGATCAATTCAACAAGAGGAGCTAACTATCCTAAATATATATGCACCCAATACAGGAGCACCCAGATTCATAAAGCAAGTCCTGAGTGACCTCCAAAGAGACTTAGACTCCCACACATTAATAATGAGAGACTTTAACACCCCACTGTCAACATTAGACAGATCAACGAGACAGAAAGTCAACAAGGATACCCAGGAATTGAACTCAGCTCTGTACCAAGCGGACCTAATAGACATCTACAGAACTCTCCACCCCAAATCAACAGAATATACATTTTTTTCAGCACCACACCACACCTATTCCAAAATTGACCACATAGTTGGAAGTAAAGCTCTCCTCAGCAAATGTAAAAGAACAGAAATTATAACAAACTATCCCTCAGACCACAGTGCAATCAAACTAGAACTCAGGGTTAAGAATCTCACTCAAAGCCGCTCAACTACATGGAAACTGAACAACCTGCTCCTGAATGACTACTGGGTACATAAGGAAATGAAGGCAGAAATAAAGATGTTCTTTGAAACCAACGAGAACAAAGACACAACATACCAGAATCTCTGGGATGCATTCAAAGCAGTGTGTAGAGGGAAATTTATAGCACTAAATGCCCACAAGAGAAAGCAGGAAAGATCCAAAATTGACACCCTAACATCACAATTAAAAGAACTAGAAAAGCAAGAGCTAGTTCAAAAGCTAGCAGAAGGCAAGAAATAACTAAGATCAGAGCAGAACTGAAGGAAATAGAGACACAAAAAACCCTTCAAAAAATCAATGAATCCAGGAGCTGGTTTTTTGAAAGGATCAACAAAATTGATAGACCGCTAGCAAGACTAATAAAGAAAAAAAGAGAGAAGAATCAAATAGACACAATAAAAAATGATAAAGGGGATATCACCACTGATCCCACAGAAATACAAACTACCATCAGAGAATACTACAAACACCTCTACGCAAATAAACTAGAAAATCTAGAAGAAATGGATACGTTCCTCGACACATACACTCACCCAAGACTAAACCAGGAAGAAGTTGAATCTCTGAATAGACCAATAACAGGAGCTGAAATTGTGGCAATAATCAATAGTTTACCAACCAAAAAGAGTCCAGGACCAGATGGATTCACAGCCGAATTCTACCAGAGGTACAAGGAGGAACTGTTACCATTCCTTCTGAAACTATTCCAATCAATAGAAAAAGAGGGAACCCTCCCTAACTCATTTTATGAGGCCAGCATCATTCTGATACCAAAGCCGGGCAGAGACACAACCAAAAAAGAGAATTTTAGACCAATATCCTTGATGAACATTGATGCAAAAATCCTCAATAAAATACTGGCAAACCGAATCCAGCAGCACATCAAAAAGCTTATCCACCATGATCAAGTGGGCTTCATCCCTGGGATGCAAGGCTGGTTCAATATACACAAATCAATAAATGTAATCCAGCATATAAACAGAGCCAAAGACAAAAACCACATGATTATCTCAATAGATGCAGAAAAAGCCTTTGACAAAATTCAACAACCCTTCATGCTAAAAACTCTCAATAAATTAGGTATTGATGGGACGTATTTCAAAATAATAAGAGCTGTCTATGACAGACCCACAGCCAATATCATACTGAATGGGCAAAAACTGGAAGCATTCCCTTTGAAAAGTGGCACAAGACAGGGATGCCCTCTCTCACTGCTCCTATTCAACATAGTGTTGGAAGTTCTGGCCAGGGCAATCAGGCAGGAGAAGGAAATAAAGGGTATTCAATTAGGAAAAGAGGAAGTCAAATTGTCCCTGTTTGCAGACGACATGATTGTTTATCTAGAAAACCCCATCGTCTCAGCCCAAAATCTCCTTAAGCTGATAAGCAACTTCAGCAAAGTCTCAGGATACAAAATCAATGTACAAAAATCACAAGCATTCTTATACACCAACAACAGACAAACAGAGAGCCAAATCAGGAGTGAACTCCCATTCACAATTGCTTCAAAGAGAATAAAATACCTAGGAATCCAACTTACAAGGGATGTGAAGGACCTCTTCAAGGAGAACTACAAACCACTGCTCAAGGAAATAAAAGAGGATACAAACAAATGGAAGAACATTCCATGCTCATGGGTAGGAAGAATCAATATCGTGAAAATGGCCATACTGCCCAAGGTAATTTACAGATTCAATGCCATCCCCATCAAGCTACCAATGACTTTCTTCACAGAATTGGAAAAAACTACTTTAAAGTTCATATGGAACCAAAAAAGAGCCCGCATCACCAAGTCAATCCTAAGCCAAAAGAACAAAGCTGGAGGCATCACACTACCTGACTTCAAACTATACTACAAGGCTACAGTAACCAAAACAGCATGGTACTGGTACCAAAACAGAGATATAGATCAATGGAACAGAACAGAGCCCTCAGAAATAACGCCGCATACCTACAACTATCTGATCTTTGACGAACCTGAGAAAAACAAGCAATGGGGAAAGGATTCCCTATTTAATAAATGGTGCTGGGAAAACTGGCTAGCCATATGTAGAAAGCTGAAACTGGATCCCTTCCTTACACCTTATACAAAAATCAATTCAAGATGGATTAAAGATTTAAACGTTAGACCTAAAACCATAAAAACCCTAGAAGAAAACCTAGGCATTATCATTCAGGACATAGGCATGGGCAAGGACTTCATGTCCAAAACACCAAAAGCAATGGCAACAAAAGCCAAAATTGACAAATGGGATCTCATTAAACTAAAGAGCTTCTGCACAGCAAAAGAAACTACCATCAGAGTGAACAGGCAACCTACAACATGGGAGAAAATTTTCGCAACCTACTCATCTGACAAAGGGCTAATATCCAGAATCTACAATGAACTCCAACAAATTTACAAGAAAAAAACAAACAACCCCATCAAAAAGTGGGCGAAGGACATGAACAGACACTTCTCAAAAGAAGACATTTATGCAGCCAAAAAACACATGAAAAAATGCTCATCATCACTGGCCATCAGAGAAATGCAAATCAAAACCACTATGAGATATCATCTCACACCAGTTAGAATGGCAATCATTAAAAAGTCAGGAAACAACAGGTGCTGGAGAGGATGTGGAGAAATAGGAACACTTTTACACTGTTGGTGGGACTGTAAACTAGTTCAACCATTGTGGAAGTCAGTGTGGCCATTCCTCAGGGATCTAGAACTAGAAATACCATTTGACCCAGCCATCCCATTACTGGGTATATACCCAAATGACTATAAATCATGCTGCTATAAAGACACATGCACACGTATGTTTATTGCGGCATTATTCACAATAGCAAAGACTTGGAACCAACCCAAATGTCCAACAATGATAGACTGGATTAAGAAAATGTGGCACATATACACCATGGAATACTATGCAGCCATAAAAAAGGATGAGTTCATGTCCTTTGTAGGGAGATGGATGAAATTGGATATCATCATTCTCAGTAAACTATCGCAAGAACAATAAACCAAACACCGCATATTCTCGTTCATAGCTGGGAATCGAACAATGAGGTCACATGGACACATGAAGGGGAATATCACACTCTGGGGACTGTGGTGGGGTGGGGGGAGCGGGGAGGGATAGCATTGGGAGATATACCTAAGGCTAGATGACGAGTTAGTGGGTGCAGCGCACCAGCATGGCACATGTATACATATGTAACTAACCTGCACAATGTGCACATGTACCCTAAAACTTAAAGTATAATAAAAAAAAAGAAAAGCAAAAAAAAAAAAAGAAAGAAAAGCAAAAAAAAAAAAAGAAAGAAAGAAAAAAAAGACATACCAGAGACTGGGTACTTTATGGGAGAAAAGATGTTTAATTGCCTCACATTTCCACACGCTGTCCAAGAGGCATGGCTCGAGAGACCTCAGGAAATTTAAAGTCATGGCGGAAGGCAAAGGGGAAGCAGTTACAATCTTCATATAGTGGAGAAGGGGAGAGAGAGAGAGAGAGAGTGCAAGGGGGGAAGTGCTACACACTTTCAAACAACCAGATCTCATGAGAAATCTATCATGAGACAGCACTAGGGGGATGGTGCAAAACCATTAGAAATCACCCCCATGATCCAATCACCTCCCACCAGGCCCCACCTCCAACACTCAGGATCAAAATTCAACATGAGATTTGGGTGGGAGCACAGAACCAAACCATATAACCTACATCAAAAAATTAGAAAAATTTAAATCAACCTAATGATGTATTTCAAGGCACTAAGACAGAAAAAACAAACCAAACCCAAAATTAGTAAAAGGAACAAGTAATAAAGACCTGACCAGAGAGAAATATGTGAAACTGGGACCAAAAAAAAGAAAAAAAAAAAGACAAACATCAACAAGATAAAAACATTGGATTTTTGAAAAGATAAACCAAATCACCAAACAATTAGGAAAAATAACAAGAAAAAAATGAAAAGACCCAAATAAGTAAAATGAGAAATGAAAAAAAATACATTGCAAATGGCACCATGGAAATATTAAGACTCATTAAAAACAATTATGAACATCTATACCCCACACACAAACTGAAATTGGAACGCCTAGAGGAAATGAAAAAAATCCTGGACACATACGACCTACCAAGATTAAACCAAGAAGGAATGGAAAACCTGAACAGGGCAATTATAAGAAACAAGATGGAATCAGTAATATAAAGTGTCCCAACAAGAAAATAGCCCAGGAACTGATGGTTTCCCTGCTGAATTCTACCAAGCTTTTAAAGAACAATTAATACCAATTATTTGAAAATTGAAAAGGAGAAGGTACTCCCACACTCATTGTAAGAGGTCAGCATCACCCTTATCGTAAGGTATTAGACAAGGACACAACAAAATAGAAAACTATAGGCAAATATTCCTGATAAACATAAATGTAGAAATTCTCAAGAAAATACCAGCAAACCAAATTCAGTGATGCAAGGATGGGTCAACATACACAAATTAATAACTGTGAAACATCAAACCAACAGAAAGAAGGACCAAAAAATACAATTCTCTCAGTAAAGTGATGAAATTTTGTAAATATGAGTTTCAGATAATGATGATTTTTGTGCTTCAGCATCCTAAGTTTAGTGAATCAGAGGGCTTAATCACCAGATTTGAAATTTCTTTATAGCATCTTTGACTAGAAACAATATGGCCAAATTTGCTTATTTGTAATAAATTTGGTATTTAGTCTTTTAAAATAATTATTCCCACTTGAAAATGATACACTTTTGTTGGAAATTTGTTTTGGTATATGTAGGAGTATTGTTGTCTATTGTAAATTAATCTACTCATCAATCAAACTATTGAGTGCTGCTACATAAATGGATAAGTGATAAGGGTATATCTCCTAGATGCAGTTATTTGAGTAAAAGACAAAAAAAAAACAATGATTATAAGACCTTTTGTCTTAATGATACTTTGTGGAATAATTAGAATCGCACTATATCTCCTAGATTTAGTTGGATTTTTAAAATTTGTGTCAACACATGTTCATTTGGATGCCAACTAGTGATTGAGAGAGATGGGCAGTAGGAGAGCCTAATCAGTTTATTTCCATTCTTAATTTCCAGGCTTGTTTGATAGCCTTCTTTATATTCTTAATATCTTTAAAGCAAACCATAAAAAGTGCTGTTTAATATTTTAATAAAATGTTCCTCTGGTGGGACAAAATGCTACTGCTCTAACCAAAATCCGGTAATTCATCAAGATTTTAGTCATTTTAAGGGTGTGTTATTGATTACTCATGTATAAATGAATTTGCAATAAATTTTCCAATAAGTTTAGTATTAAGGTCATTTTGAGTTGTTATTACATATTACCTTGGCCTCTTCATTACACATGGTCTAGCAGTAACAAGTTTAAATATGACACTACATTTGATATATCTAAAGCTGTTTTGAAACACATAACTTCAAAAGGGTAAATTTTTTGCTATTAAATTTTTTATTTTCCATTGTATACAATCATACATGGGAAGAGCTTAAACATGCTTAATTTTCAAAATAGACAACAATTTGGTAATGTAATGATAAATTATGCCTGATAAAATAAAATAAGCTATGTCAAACTCTCCTTTCCTTATAGGTGATATGTGTGTTTCAAAATAACTATATGTTAAATCTTATTAAATTTTATGAAATACATTGATATTAGTGTCACTTCAAAAATGAGCTTCTATGAGGTGATACTGCTGGGAAGTACTGTCATGGCATCAACCAAGTGCAGTTGGCAATTATTTGCATTCTGACTGAAAGCACCTTTTATCCCAGTACTAATGGGACTAATGAAACATAAGAAACTTCGTTTCTTTAGCTGAGGACTATACTATAATAGAATGAGAGGGGAAAATAAATCTCATTACACTCATGGACATGTTATGACACGAAAGAATTGCATTTCTTAAAACAAAATCACTTCAGTTTTATCTATTATCTATAAAACCAGATTCTATTGCTTTTTAGTATTTGTCATATAATTAACTTATAGAGTTGGCCTTAAAACTACAGGAATATAACAGCTGTAGCTCTAAAAATACAGCTTTTAAATAATTTGTAATTGAGGACTTATATTGATACTATTTTTTAATGTTACTTTTTGCACACCAGAAAATAATGAGTAACACCACAGGATTCAGAATCTTAATTTCATTCAAAAATATAAAATCTTTATTAGGGTTAATTAAAAATAAATAAATAATAATATATTTTCTTCAGCATAAGACACAGAAACCTTAAATAAAAGTTTCTTGGCAAATATTATTTTCTCCCGTGTTTTCCGAATTAAGCATCACAGCTAAAGCTCATTCATTCAGTGAATAAACATTTATTGATCAATTGAAAGTGACTGGTGCTGGCAATAGAGCAATAAAAAAAATAATGACTCTTCCTACTAATTATTGCATCCAGTGTCAAACACTCATATTAAATAAATCATAGCTAAAATAATAATACACTCACAAACAGAAATAATACTAAGATATAATCAGGTAAAAGTATAAAACAGAGAAGCATGCATAGGTTTATCTTGAAAAATTTCTTCTATTCTGAAATATAAATAATATATAAGTGTTACCTAAGTGGATGCAGTGACGGGCAAAACAAAGAGCAAGAATAGCACATTCAAAAATCCTTTGAAGAGGCCAGTTGGAATGGAATATCAAATGAAATACCAATCAGAAACCTGGGAGATAGAACTGGAGAGAAAGGCAAGGAGATGAAATCATGCAACGGTGTATTGACCAAGTTAAAGACAGCATATGTTATGCAAAGAGCAATGGGAAACTACTAGAAGTTGGTTTTTGTTTTTATTAATAGTGGATGTTTGACATGGAAAATGTAAATTTTGAAAATGCTGTTTTAGTTAGAGTATAGAGAAATATACAAAGCTGGTTAAGAGGGGACCCATAATTTTTCTATCTTTTATGGGTTTTTCTAGCTATCATCAGCATTCCTGTTCTCCTAGAACATTTTCCATCAGGCTTCCACCACTTGAAATGTAGCATTGATAAAATATTTATCTTTGTATGTTTTGTTTTGCCATGGTAGACATAAGGAGAACACATGGGAATCATTTATCTCACTGCCAGATGTAAGAGTGGAAAGATATATCTTGGTACATTTTCTGGAGTTTATGGGTTCATGTTATTAATCTCAAGTTGCTTACAGATCCCAAGCCTATAGAAAGTGTATAAGGTTGCCAGATGCCTACGTCTAAAATTAAATCAGAGTTGAGAGTTAGGACCATATTTGTAGGGTTTACAATCCAATGTATTCATCTGTTACAATATGGCTTATTATGAGAGATGGATTATTATGTTGAGAAATTGCAAACACTAAATCTTTTTCAATGCTGGTCAAAACATATTTATTGAGCTGGGCTTGTGTCGACTGCATTACCTATTCCCTTCCCCTGGTACTGAAATTTTCAGTCTTCACCCATTTTACATTCCTCCAGTGATACTGACACCAAAACTACTAAGAAGAAGGTACTGTGCTGGCAAACCACTGCTTAATTGCAATTTCTAAATATAATCACGGCAAATGCTTTTTATTTTCCTCTAAAAAAAGGAAATTCTGTCCACACATTCTATTTGATAACTGAATTGTGTGTGTGTGCATGTACATATGTTTTCTCTAACTATATATTTGTTAGAAAATTAATATTCATTCATGTAAACATGAATACATATAATTATAAACATAACTGAAACCACAGAAAGACTCAGCAGAAAAATGTGATTATATTAGCATTTAAAAGAGCAATACTAATAATTTTGTTTAAAATTCAGTTACATAGTTTGGCATAGAGCAATTAATGAAGCGGGAAGAATACTAGGAGCAAGTGTTAAAGAACATAAAGAAAGAAACTTTCATGTCAATATATTATTTATTTAATTGTATACCAAATCATAAAAATAAAAAAGAGAGAGAGAGAGTGACAGAGAGAGAGAAGCAAACAGAGGGCATTTTATTTAATGTTTCTGTTTTAGAAAGTAGCCATTAGATCTGTTCATAAGAGTAGAGATTTGGATCCTTCAGATAACTCAAGGAGAGAATGAAATCATTTCAACTGCTCTCTAGGAGGGTGGAGCATTCATTGTGTTTCAAAAGACAAAACTCTCTTCTGAGTAGGATAAAGAGTTCTTTTGTTGTTAAGAACTAGAGCTCATTTTTTCATTTAGAATCACTTTATTGTGGAAGGCTACATCTTAGGTTTTGGATATGAGACTGGCTAAACTGAACAAAGGCCCTGTTTTTATAAAACTTAGGGAATACTAATCACAGAAATAGGAATAAAATTGCAATTGTGGTAAGTTCCACAAAAGGTTATTTACATAACAAATAATATAAGAAATTTTCTTTGATAAAGAAGTTATAGAAAGTGTTGACAAGGAAGCTGAGATATGAAAGATGAGAGAAGTCAGATCATTCAATATAACAAATGTCCTTGGACAGCAGGATGGTAAGCACATAGAGCAAGAGAAGGCCTGAGCCCTTAAACAATGTGTGTGTTAAATGTGATTAGGCTAAGAGTATGTTAGGGAGGAAGAAGAAATTTCATTTAAACTTTATGGTAGATTACCATCTATCTTACCATCTCTTTTGAATGGTTAACCAGGCTCCAATTTATAGATTAAAACAATTAAATGAGAGCTCTTGAGTGAGGACATAAAGAGGAAGGGATTTTTACCAGGGAAGAAAAAAGAGATGGGACATATGGAAAAGATCCTATGACTAACATATAAATACTGGGTCCCATATTTAGGAGTTCTTGCCTACAGAGTGTTAGAGACAGTAGCTTGGAAGAAATAGTCCTTGTGGTACAAGACTTTAAATGACTGACTTGTAACTCATGAACAGACCCAGCACAGCAGCCCCTACACAACTTACAATGGCAGTTTCTTGGTGGGGTTAAAAAATATATATATAATAATACCGCTTTGCTCTTCATGTCTTAGCATTCCACATAACTTTATAACCTTATGAGGGATCTTTCTCCTCTACACTCAAGTTACTAATAATTATTAGCATAGGGTAGGAAGAGGCTCTTATATCAGGAATTTGAAGCTAAAATGAAGCATTAAAAGACCCAAATTAGAGACAGCGGGAAGTGATAATTCTGTTAAGATAATATTAGCTACTGCTTATTTAATGTGTATTCTGAATCACACACTGTGATAAACCTTTCATAAATTTCTTCATTTTATTTTCTCAATAGCCCTATTTAGATATCACTACTATATTTAGGCTCTTAGAGGTTATAAAAATTGATCAAGATCATTAAGTATTCTGTGCTTAATTATAAAATCCATGCATTTCCTTATATCTGTCAACTGTGTTGAATGATGATGGTAGACTGAGCCGCATGAGGTCTGAAAAGATGTTACGGAATTTGAAAATTGGGGACCCTGGTAAGGTTAATATTCATAGAGTGAATATTAGTCGCTTGCAGAGGAAAGAGAAGTGAAAAAAAGAAGCTAAAAAATGGGAAGTAAGAGCTTGGTGTATTCATAAGCAAGGAAAATTATACGACTGAGGCCAAGAAAAAGGAGACTGTTTTATTTTTCCCCAGAAGATGTACTGACTTTTAAAAGACAAAAAAAAAAAAAAGACAAGGTAGAAATTGAAGAATTCAGAGATTGAAAATGTAACTAATGTCAGAACTTTTCAGAGGTGGCAGGCAGGGATGTAACTCATAGTGTGCAGATGGAGTGATTTGCCTAGGAAAGGAGTAAGGGTAGCCCTTTCTTTGATGCAGAATAGAATACAGTAAAACCAGCAGAAAACAAACAAACTTTTTTGGTGTTTAACTGTGAAGTTTTTCTTTTCCTGCAGAACAACATAAACATTTCTCATTCTGGAATTCAAGCTGTCCATTAATTGGTATCAAATCACCCTTCCCTCTTGTCATGTCACAAACCAATCTTTTATTCAGGCTAAATCACTAAATTCATTGTCATTGTCATCTGAATACAGCTCCTGTTTTCGCATGTCAATGTCGCATTTAAATAGTTCTCCCAGCACAGATGTCTCTCCCTTCCATCACAGCCACTAACATCTCTTATGTCCAGTCTCAATCTACCTCCTCTGTAAAGCCTTCTTCAAAGCCACAGTTTAAAATTATCAATCATTGCTTCTTAGAAGGAATTGCATGTACAGAGTGTTAATCATTTATAATTATACATTCTGATACTATTTATTGCACTTTATGAGTATGCATATATCCACATATATAGTTATGGACTGAATTGTGTCTCCTCGACATTCATATATTGAAGTCTTAATTGCCAGTACCTCACAGTGTGACTGTGGTGAAGATGGAGACTATAAAGATGAAATTAAATTAAATTTGAGATCATATGGATAGGCTTAAACCAATGTGACTGGTGTCTTTATAAGAAGAGGAGACTAGAGACAAATACACATACAGAAGGATGATCATGTCAAGATACAGAGGGAAGGTGGCCATTTACAAGCCAAGAGGAGAGGCCTCAGAGGAAACCAACACTACTAACATGTTGATCTCAGACATCTAGCTTCCAGAAATGTGAGACAATACATTGTTATAGCTTAAGCCACCCAGTCTGTGGTATTTGCTATGATAGCCCTAGAAAAAATATATAAATATATAAATATACATATATATAACATATATACAAATATTAATATAAATGGACATATACTCATACATATTATACATAAATATGTATAATATACCATACAGTATATGTAAAATATATACCTATATATACCAGTGAATATAATATTTATTTTACATATATCATCAACAAATACGTGATAGTTTCCTTAATATAAACACATATCACCCTTAATGTTTCACACAGTGTCTTATATGCAAAGTTGGCATATTGTACTATTTAAACTTTCACTCTATGGAGCAAAACAGATATGAGTTTTAGAAGCTTTTTACATAACTCCTCTATAAACTTTCATACCACAGTTAACTCTTCTTAGCCTTAGTTTCTTCATCTGTGTCATGAGGATAAGGAGGGTTTGTTTCTCTTAAGTATATTATAATAATTAAATGAGGATATTAATGTAGAATGCTTAACATTGATGGCAGCAGCAGGCCATGTGAAGCCACTGCTGCCATCGTACTAGCTGCAGCAGGGAGGCATAAGTGGAGGCAGCAGGAGTGGCTGCAGAAGCAGCAGTGGTGGCAGTGGGTCTCCTGTGCCCCATGTTTCTGAGGAAGCCTACTGCACCACCCCTACCCTTGCATGGTTGGGAAGGATCTGCTCCCAGGCCCAGAGCCTCTGCCATGGCCTCAACCTTGCTTCCTGCTGCATCCTGGGGGCCTGCGTGCACTTGGCCGAAGATGCAGGCAGGACTTGCAGGACTGGTCCCAGGAGTGTCAGGTTTGTTTGTGAGGGGTTGGACAGGGCCGCCATGCAACCTGCACCTGTCCCACCACACAGAGAGCCACGGCAATGGGGCCAGGCCTAGTTGCCCACAGGCAGGGGATTAGTGCAGTCAGGCATGAAGAGGTGGGCAGAGAGGGGCCCTGGGGAAGAGCTGGGCCCAGGGCAGTGTTGCACTCCACAAAGCCGGCAGGAGCTGGGAGGAGGCAGGACCCCTGCCCTCCTTGGTGGGGCTGCAGCTGTCCAAGTTGCAGCTGTGGACCTAGGCATCTCTGCACTCTCAGGGGCCCAGGAACTCCCGGTCTTGCCCTCGCAGGCTTGGAGGTATCTGCTCCCACTGTCTGGCCTCTGGCTGCTGTAGCCACCTGCTCTGATCATGGAGTAAAGTTGAGGCCAAGCCCACAGGTCCTGTCGCAACCCAGCTGAGTGTGCACATGCTCAAAGCAGGGCTGACACACCAGCCCCCTGCCACCTTGGCCCCCTCTGGATTTTGGGCACCAACAATCATGGAGGGTGGCCAGGGGGTGCTGAGGGCAGCTCAGCACTGGCCTGCAAACACCCCTTGGTACAAACAGCCTAGGCACTATGAAAGCAGGCAGGAGGCAGACAGGCTTCTGGAAGGGGAGGGGGGGGTCCCAGGTGAAGCCCTTCCTTCAAGCTGAGAAGGGCCTGAAGCCTAGGGGCCCAGCTGCCTGTCCTGCAGAACACAGTGGGAACTTGTGGTGCCTTTTCCGGGCAGGCCCATTGTTGAGAACAGGTCCCCCAAAATCTGGCTGTAAACTGGCCCCAAAACTGGACATAAACAAAATCTATGCAGCACTGTGACATGTTCGTGATGGTCATGAAGCTGACGCTGGAAGGTTGTGGATTTACCAGAATGAGGGCAAGGAACACCTGACCCGCCCAGGGTCGAAAACCACTTAAAGGCATTCTTAAACCACAAACAATAGCATGAGCAATCTGTGCCTTAAGGACATGCTCCTGCTGCAGATAACTAGCAAAACCCATCCCTTTATTTTGGCCCATCCCTTTGTTTCCCATAAGGAATACTTTTAGTTAATCTATAATCTATGAAAACAATGCTTATTGCTGGCTTGCTGTCAATAAATACGTGGATAAATCTTGAGGCTCTCAGCTCTGAAGGCTGTGAGCCCCCTGATTTCCCACTCCACACCTCTCTATTTCTGTGTGTGTGTCTTTAATTCCTCTAGTGCCACTGGATTAGGGTCTCCCAGACCAAGCCGGTCCCGGCAGCCCATAGCCTATCAATAGGCTGGCACGCATTTCCTCCCCTCTGAGGCCTATAAAAGCCCCAGACTCAGCCAGACTCCAGGAGATAATGAGATGGCCAGCTGCAGGGAGGAACTACTCTCCCTTCTGAGAGCTGGATACTCATTGGGATGACCAGCCTGACAGAGAAGAGCTACCCTCTCTTCTGAGAGCTGAAGAACTGATGAGACAACCAGCTGAAGAGAAGAACTACCCTCTCTGCTGAGAGCTGAACACTTATTGGGACACCCTACCTATGGAGAGGAGCTGCCCACTCTGGGTCTCCTCTGAGCTGTTCTATCCTCAATAAAGCTCCTCTTTGTCTTGCTCACCCTCCACTTGTCTGCATACCCCATTCTTCCTAGACACAGGATAAGAACGCCAGACCTGCCAAATGGCAGGGCTAAAAGAGCTATAACACAAACAGGGATGAAACATGCCTCTTGCCCACCACATTATGGGCAACAAGGAGAGATGAGAGAAGGACAGAAGAGCTGCAGCTCTTTGGGTAGCCCAGAGCTAGTAGCTCCCAGAGCCTGGCTGTGACTTCCTCTTTAGGGTTCTGTGGTTCCTGGCATCTCCAAGCTTCCAGGTGCCACACAGCATTCCCCAGTGTCAGCTGTAGAAGCTGCTTATGGAACACCTGGTCCAGTCGCAGCCTCACAGGGAGCTGACACCCATGCTCATGCCTGGAGCTGCCCACCCTCTCACAGCCAGTGTGCCTGGCTGTGCACAGTGGCTGGACCCTACGCTTGCTCACATCTCTTGCTGCTGTGCACCTGGCTCAGCCTTAGCAAGTGTGGGATCCAGGATGGTAGCAGGAGCTGAATGCAGCCTGCCAGGCTGAGTGGGCAAAATGAGCCCAGTGGGCCAGAGCAAAAATCAGGCAAAGATGCCACTGGCCACAGATGTTTGTGGCTGGCAAGGTGACATCCCAATGATCCTGTAACAACATAATACAAGGTACAGAGTAATTGTTAGCTAGCATTACTTTACTTAGTCTTTGATTCATAAATATTAATTAAAGTTACTAATTTGAGAAATAAACTATTTAAATATGCTCCAACTCAATCTTCTAATAAAGTTACTGCTATATATCTTTAACTATTAAATATTTTCCAAGATTTTATTTTTAAAAAAATATATATGATTTCAGATTATATTTTTAACATTGGATAGCATTTATGTATTAAACAGATATTTTGTAGAAACGTACACATTATTTTTCTGATAATCCTGATAACCAAAATTTATATGAAAAAATTTAAATTATTTTACTTCAGATGATTTAAAATGAGCACATAGCCATTTATCATATAGAGCAGATTTACAGGATTCTCATTGTTTAAAACGAAATTACTATAAGGAATGAAACATTTCAGTACTCTTTTTCAAAACTTTCTGAGTTGACAGTAGAGAGTAAGCTATGATTCCAAACCAAAGAATAGGCAGAGATCTTAAAAGGTATTAAAAGAGCACCAAAGTTGCTTTTCAGCATGAGTTCCTCTCAAACTCCTGGAATACTGAACTAGTTTGTACATACTAAAAGAAGGACAAAATATAAAACCTAGACTCTACCCAATGTGGAAAGTATAATAAGACATCTTAGTTAAGTTGGAAGACAAAAGCATCTCATTATAGAGGTAAAATAGTTTTAAAAAAATCCCTAAACAAAAGGTATAGGACAGAAACTCACTTATTTCAACTATGGCACTAAAGAATAGAAGGGGTGAATTCCCCCTGAGAATTCATACTACCTCAAACGCTGACATGGATGGAATCACTGAATTGCCACAGAGCAGTTGAAATACTTCAAATAAATTAATATAAAATAATTTCAGATTGGTAGTACCACTAATCACTCTTGAGAAATAAATTAACCTGTAGAAACAATCAAGCCCTAGCTTCTAAAAATTTGTTCATAAAAAGTGTCAAGGAATACAATCAGTACAAAATCAAATGCTACAAAACACAAAAAAGACCCAAAACAACACACACAGTGAATTAAATCAGCGAAAACAATAAGCAGCTGAAAATATCTGAAGAGAAGATTTCAGGTAACAAAATTTTCAGAAAAAAAAATTTTAAATGTTGGCCAATACGTTTTAAAAAATTAAAATAAAAATATGAAAGTATAAACAGAACTAAAAATAAGGAAAAGCAAATAAAATTTTATAATAAACCAAAAGGATATCTAGAAATGAAAATCAGAATTGTTGAAATATTTAAAATCAAGGACAAAATTTATAGCTTAATAGACTTAGTTGAAGAGAAAATCAGTTAACTAAAATAGATTTCTGAAGAAATTTTCCATAAAAAAATAAAAGTTATAAAAGACGGTAGGTATAAAAAAACAAAGATCAAGAAATAGGTAATGAGAATGTAAAATTCTACTCAGTGTTTAAAAAAAAGTAGAAATGAGATTCTTAATGAATTAATTAAAGACATTCACAGATTCATAAAGCCCTGTAATACTAGCTAGAGAATAGAAAAAGTAATTACACCTGTATCTACAATATAAAAAGACAACAAAAAACTAGAAACCAAACAGAAATAATAATTGAACAACAAACTTCTCAATAGCAATAATTTAGAAAAAGTGATTTTTTTAAGTTGATAAGCTAAAACACGATTAACCCAGAATTGTATTCCATAAAAACTGTTTTTCAAGGGCAAAAGTAAAATAAAGACATTTTCAGACAATAAAAATCCCATTTATCAATAAAAGAAAATCTAAGGAATGCCCTCTAGTCAGAAGGAAAAAGCTCATTGATGCTTTCTGCAGGTCTGATGAATTGACCTGCAGAAACAAAGTAAGCCCTACCTTTAAAAAATTTGCTCAGAGAAAGTTCCAAGGAACATGACTAGTGCAAAATCAAATGCCATAAAATATAAAAGGACACAAAAAGAACACAAAACACAGTAAATTAAAATCAGCAAAAACAATAAGCAGCTGAAAATATCTGAAGAGAAGATATTTTAGGAAAGATTGATAAATATGTGAATAAAACTTAGGAATATTAACCATATAAAATTATTTACATGGTTATATTCATAGGGAAAAAATGATTCTCAATCATTACCTTAAAGCATAAACAAAAAGTAATTTTAAAAGGATTATGGTCTTGAAAGTAAAGCTGCCTATATGAAACTATACAACTTCTAAAATCTAGAAAGTGGAGAATATAATATCTGCATCCTTGGTTTAGGGAAAGATTTCTTAGAATAGAAAATTAGTAATGCCAAAATAAAAGAAAATAAGTTAGACTTTATTAAAATTAAACTTTTTGAAAATAAAAAGACACTAAGTAATAAAAAAGATTAAAAAGACAATATATCCAAAATATTAAACTGAAAAATAAATTATTTACAGAATACATAAAGAACCCTTCAAATTTGGTAAAAATGAAACGCCCAATAAAAATGGATAAAAGACTTGAATAGAAACTTTCTTATACAAAGTGACCATAAAAAAATGTTCAACACCTTATTTATGAGGTAAGTTTAAATTTAAAACATAATGAGATTTCACCTCACCCCAACTAGAATCTGGTTTAATATTAAAGACTTAACATGCCAATTGCTAATTAATATATGGAACAATTGGACATCAGATACACTCTTCCTGGATATGTAAAGTTATACAAACACTTTGGCAAAGAGTTTTATGGAGTAAAGTATATAATTACCATAAGAAATTCCACTCCTAAACATTCATGAAAAATAAAAATATACATCACAAAATACATGTATGCAATGCTCATAGCACAATGCTCAATGTTCATAATAAACAAAGCTGGAAACAAACCAATTATTCATCAACAAGAGAATGGATAAAGATAGATGAGGTATTAATATAACGATATACTAGGCAGTAATACAATGAAGGAATTCCTGGTGTCCACAGCTGCATGAATTGACTTGAAAATCTTTATGCTGAGCATAAGAATCTGTGCAATAAAGAAGACAATTTTATGACCCTATTCTACAATAGGCAAGTTCTATAACAGACAACAATAATTCATATTAATAGAAATCATATTAATAGTTGCTTGAGGTGAGAAGTGTGGGAATGATTTATTGGAAAAGAGCACAGGAGATGTTTCTTAGGTGTTGAAAATTTTCTATATCTTGGTTACTGTTATATTTAACAAGTGCTTACATTTGCCAAAATTATGCAAAGTATTCACTTAAATTCATGTGTACATTAAAAAAATAAATCTCAATAATGCATATTAAAATAATATATATTGACCAAATTGTTTTTATGTAAGAAGAATATCTCAAATTATTTTAAAATTTAGCATTATTATTCACCATAATACAAAACTTTCAATGGTTGCTAAACAATGACTGGTAAAATTAAAAATCTGCTCAAAGATTAAAAAAAAAATCTCATGGCAAATTATGAATGATTGATAGTTTCATTATATGAACAGATATTATCTACCAAAGTTTTAAGACAAATATTACTCTTCATGAAATGATGAAATATTATCTTTACATAAGGATCATTTTTCACCAGTACTATTTAATACTCACCAGAGGTTCTAAATTCTGAGGTAAAAGAATATGAAATAAAAAGCATAAAAATTGGAAGGGAAGATAGAAACCTATTTATTCACATGTATCAAATATATACTAAAAACACAAATGAATAAACACCGGTACTTGGACTTTAGAAGCACAGTTTGTTGTATAGGAGGTTTATATACAAATACATTTCTATCTACCAACAATAAATTACTGCATTTTAAAAAAGATAGCAGCGTAGCACTCTACCAGTGCCAGGAGCTGGACACCTACCTGATACCCCAGATCCTCCATAGCCACTACTGATTACAGCCAGCTGCAGGTACAGAGCCACGGGACCCCAAGAATGAGCTTACAAAGTGGCCTTTCCAGGCCCTGGGAGCTCCTCTCACTCATCAGACCTTCCACTGCCCTGGCTACTAAATATTTTACGTACATCAGCCTGAAAAGGACTTCTGGCTATGCAAGAGTCCCTTAAAGATTTTCTGCTTCAAGTCTGTCTTTGAAATCTGCCATGAGCACAAAATTATGGTAATTTTTGACCTAAAAAGATTTTAAAACTATTTAAATACCAAAAAAAGACAGCATTGACAATCACCATATTAAGTAGACAGAAATAAACTATATTCAAAGTTTTTGTAGGAGAATTATTACATTTTATTAAAACATGCTAAAAAATAGACAAACTTTGTTGTTCTTAGATTAAAAATGTCCGTATTTTAAAGATTTTTTAAAATATTTAATTTGATCTATGAATTCAGCACAATCCCAATTAGAATCCCAATGTTTTAAAATATAATTTAAAACCAATGTCACATTAGTAGTAAAAATTGTACAGCAATAAGATCTAACATACTAGTGTACAAGTTGTTGAGAGAACCTACCCCATTAGGTATCAGAGCTTATTAAAACCTATCACAACTATGGCAATGTGATTTATTGTAGATATAGAGTAATAGAAAATGACAAATTCAATCAATGCATATGTATAATCGTTATTAATGACAAGCATGAGTATTGCAGTTGAAGAAAACAAAGAATGGCCTATTCAATAATTTATGTATGAATAATTGTTTATTATGGATTGAATGTTGTGTCCTCCTCCCCCAAATTTATATGTCGAAGTCCTAATCCCCAATGTCATGATGTGTGGAGATGAGGCTTTTGGGAGGTAATTAGATTTAGATGAAGGTGACCACAGAACTGAATCAGCCGGAAACCTGATCTTAGATTTTCCATGCTTCAGAGCTGTGTAAATAATTTCTGTTGTTTAAACCATACAGTTTATGTTATTCTGTTATAGCAATCCAAGAAGACCAATACAATTATACATTTGGAAAAAATGTAATTTTTCCTCCTTAAACTTTAAATATTTGAAAAAAATAGTTCAAAGTGAATTGTGGATATAAATGTCAAAGGAAGAACTTAAAAAAAAGTGGGCTTTTTGAGATGAAAGTATGAATTTCTTTTAGAAAACAACATGTTTAAGCAAAAAGAAAAATATTTATAATTTGTATATTAAAATTATCTGTTTATCAAAAACACTATATGGAGTCTATAAAGATAAGCTACAAAATGAAAAAAATGCAGCTCATTACTTGCATTTCACAAAAAAATACAAATGAATAATAAAATTTTTTAAGGCTTTCAAATTGTTTAAGAAGGAGGAAATGACCTGTCCTTCTAATGTTGCCACACCGAGACTGCTATTTTTAGCTACCCAATTTTCCAAACAGTTCTGCTCCCAACCCTGTTTGTCACTTCTTTAATTAAGTGGTGATGTTCTTTTAACTCTAATCCTCTTTTGTGCTAGCTCTGGTAATCTAATGCTATCATATTATAGAGACCAAACATAAATGTCACCTCTGCAAAACTTCCCTTTTAGGAGAAGCTTTTATCTTCTTGGAAATGTAATAGTTAGGGATAAATATAAAAAAGTGAATCCGTTCTAATATAGACAAAAATAGGAAGCAATGGGAACACTCATCCATTTATACT
The DNA here is from genome assembly GCF_000001405.40 of Homo sapiens. NCBI lineage: Eukaryota > Metazoa > Chordata > Mammalia > Primates > Hominidae > Homo > Homo sapiens. The sequence goes on from NC_000004.12 coordinate 132,966,379, forward strand.
TGAAGTGTAAATTGATGCAACTATTTTGAAAAATAGACTTCCCCTAGTCAAATTAAAACGTATGCATGCAAAATGACTTGAATCTACTCCAAGGCATGTATCCAAAGTTTTACGTATATGTGCCAAAATACACGTCCTAAAGTGTTCACAGTAGTATTGTTCATAATAACAAAAAACAAAAGGAACTAATCCACACGTTCATTAAAAGGAAATGGCAGTACATATATTCTTTAATGTATTGGACAGCAATGGAAATCAAGTAATCACTACATGCGTTAACATAGACAAATCACAAAAACTTAACACTGAATGAGCAAGTCCACAAAGAATGCATATGCTGCTATGGAATATTCAAAACAGGATAAATGATTACTTATATATAAAAGTGGCAAAACTCTAATGGAAGGTAATGGAACTATCACTATGAAATTTAATGTAATATTGACCTCTGGGGCTTTGCAGAGGACAATCAGAAAGAGCAGAAAGAGAGTTAGCGCTTACAGTATGAGTAATACTTTACTTTTTTTCACTTGACTGGCCTATACATGTATACCTTTTTTAATTTTTAGAATGTAGTGATGTATTTGAACACTCTTTTGTGGGATAAGGTGTTTACTAATAAAAAACCAAATGATTATTGATGAAAATGAATGATTCTTGGTCATAGTCCTATAGAAAACAACAAACCCTTGCCCATAAATAGTTATATTAAAACACTGGAATATCATTATATATACATATATAATTTATTTATATATATTTATATAAAGGAAGTTCTGAATTTGAAATAATATGGATGATTATCCAGCCTCAGTTTCATTAAAATGTCAGATAATTTGATCTTTACTTAATAGCATTTTGCAGAAATGAGCCACCATTTTACAGTTAAGGCTATCATTAATCAGCATGGCATCAATTTGGACAGGGAGATTGATATTTCTTGCAACAGGCTTCATGATAACCAAAGCTGTCTCACTTTACCTGTTCCTAGGGATTACAGATGAGAAATTATTAAAAAATAGGGATTATATGATGTTATATCATATAGTATATGAATACAGAATTTAGACTAGTTAATTCAAGATTGTGAGCTCACATAAAAGACATAAAATTATGTACTTACCAACTCCTAAAAAAGTATGTTCTTACAATAGTCATTTGATTTCGCCTGATTAAGGAGATAATTAGTAAATTTATTCCTAAAATAGTTACAGTCATTCCTGTTCATTAAATCATCTAGTGGTCTGCATGCAGCACCAAGTGGATAGGACATTAATTTCCTGGGGCTGCCATAACAAAATACCACAACCTGGGTGGGTTAAGAAATATAAATGTATTGCTCTGTTTACAGTTCCAGAGGCTACAAGTCTGATATCAAGGTGTCAGCAGGGCCTTGCTTCCTCCGAAGGTGTTAGGATTTGTTTTATGCCTCATTCTGGTGATTTCATGGCAATCTTCAGTGTTCCTTGGCTTATAGGTGCATCACTCTGATCTATGCTTTCATGTCCATGTGCGGTTCTCCCTGTCTATCCCTGTGTCCAAATGTTTCCCTTTTAAAAAAGACAAGAGTCATATTGCATTGGGGACCTAGGGACCACCCTAATGACCTCATTTTAACTGACTATTTCTGTAAAGATACTATCACCCAATAGGTTCACAATATGAGGTACTTGGGGTAAGAAATCCAAGATATTTCAGGGGAATTCACAATTTAACACGTAATCTATGGTTTCATATGAAATATTTTATTAGTACTTTTAAATAAATTCAAAATTTGTTTACAAATAAAATTTTGCTTTCCTTTTAAAATTAACAACTCAATGTTTAGTTTTAATTTTTAATGCTGATTTATAAAAGCAAAAGAAATAGGAAATTGTTTCTAAAGTAATTATAGTCTTGATGAACACTGAAACACAACCTCTAAAATTTTGATGATTAGCCATTGGCATAAAGTTTTTCCTCTTACATTCTTCACGTAAACATGAAAAACAGGTGTATAACATTCAAAATATTAAAGAAAATTCTTCTTTGCATAAAAATTGCATGGCATCTGCATTAAATCCAAAGCTACTCTAAAGAATGTATAAGATTCTATTAGGACCAATTAAATTTAGATTTAGAGCAAATAAAAATCTGAACAGTATAGGAAGATTGTTTTTTGGAAAGCAAAATTTGGCTTTCCTGGAAAAAGCCCACATATTTAGATATACAATTATATTAATAAGCAATGGAAATGTAGCTTTGTTAAATTGTGTCCAATTGAGCAAATGTTTACTGAGTGCAAGGTATTGTTTAGAACACTGTGGTTATAAATGTAAATAAAGATCAGAAAATTTTCCTTCAATATCTTAGATTGATATTTCATACTTTAGTTAACATTCTTGTTTATTCTCTTAGCTGGATTGAAAATAGGAACTTATTTTATATATCAATAAGTAGCATGAAAATGTGATAATAATAAAGATAACTACAACTTTGAAAATTTGCCATGTGCCATGCACTGTGGAATACTATATATCAAGTATATCATTTGATCCTCACAATCACACCATGAGATTTCAGGTACTTCAGATACCCTTTAAATATCAGGAAAGTGACAATTGTAGAACATAAATTATTTGTACTGTGTCACATAGCTAAGACGTGAATTGGAATCCAGGCAGCCCAAATTAAAAGCCAAAGCAAGTGTCTTAAAATCTTAAAATCTTTATATAGAAAGCCCACATGTATAAATAACATTTCCATATCAGTCCTGAACTGCAGTTGGGAATATTAGAAAATTAGTAAATGGTAAAGAGGATAGTTTACTTCAATGGTAAGAACCTTATCTTCCTTTTTCTCTCCACTAGCATTTTTGATTTTTGTTTTTTTTTTTTTTTTACTTTGTGAACTTAAAACACTAGACAAAACTTCACATACTACCACATGTAAATTTAAGAACAAATATATATATATATATATAATATAAAATAGTATTTGCAAGAATTCTTTTTACATAAAGTTCAAGTTCTTCCTCTTTAAGAAACTGGTAAGTCTTTGAAATTAGTATTCTAAGAAAAAAATACCTCTATCCTGCTCTGCTCTGAACTTCCCCATCATCCTACATTTCAATTGCTATACTTTTGTTTGTCATGCTGTTCTTTATTTACAACATACGAACTAGATTTGACTACATCCTCATCTCGTGTCCTTTTAATTTTTCTTCAAAAAGCTTTTTTTTTAGGCTTTGCATGTATGATAAAATGCTGAAATTTTAGTTTTAACTTCTTCCTCTAGAAGGTTGCTATAATGAAACACTAAAAATACTGTTTGCCTATTTTAGTTATTATCCCACAGTAATTTACCTCCAATTGCTTTGCCCTGCATCTTCATTTTCTTTGTACATCTGTTAACATCTGCCATGATTACCACTAGCACTGTGTTAGGTTACCCAATAGGCCGACTAAGTTCAAGATACTAGCAAAGCCATACAACATGTCTGCCACACATGCCCTAAACCCCCGGCACACACACACTTCTTTGAAATAAATTATATTTATGGTGCCCATAGAACTTTAGAATTTAGAATTTTTTTGTACAATTTGATTATAAAATCTGATGAAATGATATATAATAATCTAGTCTAGTTCATATAATATTTTCAGACTTTATGGGCTCTCTGTATACACACACACGCAGACTTTCACACACACATACACACACACATAAGCATATAAGTTATTGTCTTGGGATAGATCAGAGCACTGTTGAACTCTCCTGACTTACTGAATGATTTATTTCACTTTTAACGATATATGAAGAGGACGTTTCATAATTTTTTAGTGCAAGAAAGTTGTTCTGTCACATTGAGCATAAAAATAAATTCATTTTTGATCAGTAAACATAAGAGTCATGCAACTTCCCATATGACTTCATTAGACATATACCACCCCACATGACTGCACCACCTAAGCATTTTATACACAATAAAATATAGGATACAGAGGCATAGGGAAGCATAGACCATTTGGGAAAAAAACTATGGAAGCCTCCAGATGAGAAATGACATTTAAGTTGGATTTCAAAATATGGATAAGAAATAGACAAGCCTAAAAGAGGGACATTTTAGATAGAATTAATTGTATGAGAAAAGATCCGTGCTGTCAAGGTCTATGGCAATCACCTATTTTTCAGCCTATCTTTTTCTGAAACAGTATTTATAATCTATTTTCACAAAGCTGGCTCCTTCTTGTCATTTATTTCTCAGGTTTAATATTACCTCACTCTACATTCAAGGAATATTCCCTCACAAACCAAGTAAATCTTTATCTGAGCACCCAGTTTTATCCATTTTCTTTTTACATAAATTACTATTTATAGATAGGATGGCTGGGGAATCACTAAGAGAAAGTGAAATTTGAGCAGAAACCTAAATGAGGTGAAGGGATAAACCACATAAAGTGTTGCAGAGGAATGTGCCAATCAGGGGGAGCAGAGAAAGCAAAAGCATGCATTAGCTTGGTATGTTTGTGAGCACCAAGACTGCCAACTTGGCCCATGTGGTAGAGTTAGTGTGGTAGAAAGTGGTAGGACATACATGGTCAGAGGTTGTATAATGAGAGGTTTTATAAATCATTGAAAGTAGTTGGAATTACAATTGTAATATGATAAAAAGCCATAGAAGAAATTTTTAATAAGATGGGGAACATATCATTTACACACACTTTTTAAAAATGTGATTTTTGGGAAAATGACTATAAGATAGGCAATGTAGTTTCAGCTCAGTATATTAAAAAAAAAGAATTGTACCTATGATATAGTCACAAAGTCTTGGGAAAAATATGCTTCCAGAATTGCATGGTTTCTTCTAAGTAGGGAGACCACTGGTAAATTATTCTTAAAAATGTTTCAGCCATTCATGTTGACCCATCTAATAGATGGATGTCCCGAATGCAGCATGAAGCAGAAAGACCACTGAGTTGGATATCCCACTACTCTAGGCAAGAGAGAATGAATCCTTGGTTTTATCAGTTCAGGTTAAGTGAAGAAACCTTTAGCACCCTTAGGAGGTATGACTAACAGCTTTTCCAGGAAAATAAATATATTGCATTACCAGTTGTGTCTGTATTCTTATATCCCTATTTAGTTAGTTTTTTTAATATTTTTTTTAACTTGGTGCTATAGATTGGGTGAATCTTGAGAGCTGTATAAGTTTGGAGTAAACCAAACCTAAACAGAGTGGTAAGTTGCATGTTTTCTGCTGGGCCTACATCTGGTTCTACTTTAGAGTTCTGTGGGAATTTTTATCTTTTTAGATCAATGAAAAACCATCAGGAAAATCCCTATACTAGACCAGAATGTGCCTTCACACTCAAGTACAGCATATATTGAAAATATTGCTCACTTTTAATTTGAAGCTATTGTAATTAACAGATTGTGACTAATGTATATCTTTCTTAGAAAAACATACCAATACCTTTGTAGGTTTTCCAGAAATCTAGATGCAACATCAGGAAATAGGATGTAATTCTGCTATTTTCCTGTGACATAATCGAGAGCCCACAGTTTCTTCCATAGAAACATAATAATGGAATTTCTGCTAGCGAAACAGAGATCCAATCATCCCAATTAAGCTTTATTACAAACTAAATACAAACTTATCAGTTTATATGTGCAAAACATCCACCATTAAATTAGCCATGTCAATTTTAAGCCATTGAAAAGTACTACTTTTACCAGAAACCATGAAGTAGCATGGAAGATTTATATATACTGCTTAGTATTGAACAAAATGAGGAATGAAGAGATAGTGCATATCTTTGGTATCTGTCTCTTGATAACCCAAACCTTCAATACATCATTATTTAAAGAAACCATAATAAGGTCTGGAAAGCAGGATTTTGGAATGATGGTGTAAGGGTCACTGAAAATCTAGTACATAAACTTATATAAAAAAGATTTACCTAATCAACACATATGTACACAACAACTGCAGAACTCATATTCTTTCCAAGCACACATAAAACATTTAGCAAACTGACCATATGATGGACTATAGGATGGAGCATAAAGCGAATCCCAACCAATTTCAAATGACGAAAGAATAGAGTATAATCTCTGATCACCAACAGCCAAAAATCACTCACAAAAAGACAACCAAAAAATCCCAAAATGTTTTAAAACAGCAACACACTCTAAGAAATTAATAAGCTAAATAAGAAACCACAACTGAAATCAAATTGTATTTTGAACTAAATGATAATGGAAATACATCCTCCCCAAACCTGCAGGATGCAAAAGGTGTGCTTCAAAAAAAATTTATCACAACTGCACACCAGATCCTGCAAAAAATTAAAGAGGGTAGTGGGCTGGATTGGGTCCTCTGTGGAAACATTTTTTATGATCTTAACTTCCAGTACCTGTAAATGTGACCTTATTTGGAAATAGGGTCTCTGCAAGTATAATCAATTTAAGATAAGGTCACATTAGATTAGGGTAAACCCTAATCCAATATGACTGGTGACCTTATAAAATAGAGACATTTGGAGACACAAAGGACAGACACACAGAAGGCCATGTGATCATGAAGACAGAGATCATAGTAATGCACCTACAGGCTAAGGAACTTTGAGGATTTCCAGCAAACACTGGTAGCTAGGAGGACACAAAGAAGAAATTATCTCCTAGAGCCTTTCAAGAGAGTATGGCCCTCCCAACACCTTGACACTGGACTTCTAGTCTCTAGGACTGTGAGACAATGAATTTACACTGTTTTATGCCAAAATAAAAGATCTTTCAAAATTACTGTTTTCCACAACTACAGGTTTTTTTTTGTTTTTACAGTATAAGAAGCATTTATTCCATAAAAATAGTTGAATCTTTGTAAGAGTAGTAACCTTTGTGGTACTTTAATTTACTCCATTTCCATTCCCATCTTCCTAACTGTGCACTGTCCTCAAAAATAATAGCTACTTTGCAACCATTGTAGCTGCAAAAAACAACAGTGGAGGGACCACTGGAGTAGGCAGAATGAACCTGTCTACAAAAAGCCTCATCTTCAACGAACTTCACTATCTTTTAGCTCCATGGAAACACTGAATTTGCAGAACTTGTCATAATTTCCTACCTTAAATCTCCTTCATTCAGAAGAGCTTTAACCTAAGGGCATTGTCAAAAACAATGAACAGCAATAGTTCAAATCATATCGTCTGAAGCTGTGAAACTAGTGGTGATCAATAAAAAGCAAGAACTATAAATGAAGGTCTGGGGAATCAGGTGTCCCTAAGGGGCACTAAAAAGCTCCTACATAGAGAGATCTAGGAGGTTGTGTGGATTGTGAGCGGGTCCAGGAAAAGTCTGTGAAGTCGCTTTATCTCTCAATTCTGGCTGATGTTGAGGTCATTGCAAGAACTAAAGGTAAGAAAGCGTTTTAAAGTACTAGAGAATAGAAAGCAAGAGTAGACACAAACACAGGAGCTGTCAGCAAAAGACGAAAGGTGGAAGACTTAACCAAGTTAGATCATTGAACAATGATTTGAGTGGCCATACATCAAGGAGAATAAGCCTTAAATAAACTAGTCCAGGAATGTCACTAAACAAACAAAAATCAACAACAAATTATTTGTGTAATATGGCATTTGAGACTGGATGAGTTTTCCAAAGGAATGAAGGTAAATCATAATAATAGAAATAAAGATTTCAAAAGAGAGTGACAAAAACCTGGACATTAGGTGGATGGAAAGAAATCAGAAAACAAGAGATAGAAAGAGGCAGCCAGGAAGGTGAGAATAAGGCTACAAGTGTGCAACATTGGGATCCAATTGAAGAAAGGATAATAAAGAGAAAGGTGCTATCAAATACAGCAAATATAGCTAAGTCAAAAATGAAAGAGTAGGAGATGAGGTCAGAAAAGGGAAAATAGATATTGTGGAAATCCTGAAATTCTTAAAATGATTGAAGAGGTATAAGGGAGCATGACAGTAATGGTGAGACTTCGTTAGAAGGAAAAATAATTGAATTGAGATTAAGATACATTTATCAATAGCATTCATAATTAAACTCATTTTAATCCCTACAACAGATTTTTTTCTACAGATTCAAGCATGATATAATGGTGTATAATGCTCATTCCAATATCAAATATATGACAGATGGAATTTTGGAGACGATTTGTTTTTTAGTTGTAGGTAAGTGTACCCATCAATTGGACCTAGTGTGTCTAGTAAAGACAATCATACAATATATATCAAGAGAGAAAGTTCAATAGAAAGGATTAATAACGTGTTTGTTGAAAAGCTTAAAGCACATGCATACGAACTGAATTATCACAGAGATAACAACTGAAGGAAATAGCAGCTAAGAACAAAGAGAATATAGTGAGATTATCAGACCCTAGAAAAGACCCTACAGAGTTGGTGCTCAGACTCTGAGTGGGGCTTTGGCAAGCTGGTGCTATAACACTCACACGATTAGGCTGGTTTTAAGAATTGTGAAAAAGGGCCAGGCGCGGTGGCTCACACCTGTAATCCCAGCACTTTGGAAGGCTGAGGCAGGCGGATCAAGAGGTCAGGAGTTTGAGACCAGCCTGACCAACATAGTGAAACCCCCATCTCTACTAAAAATACAAAAATTAGCCTGGCATGGTGGCTAGTGCCTGAAATCCCAGCTACTCAGGAGGCTGAGGCAAGAGAATCACTTAAACCCAGGAGGCGGAGGTTGCAGTGTGCCAAGATCGCGCCAATGCACTCCACCTTGGGTGACACAGCAAGACTCTGTCTCAAAAAAAAAAAAAAAAAGAATCTTGAAGAAGTTAGAGGCTGAAACTAATGGTTGCTGTGCAAATAAAAGGCAGTTGCCAACTAAGCTGACAGAAACCATAAGTAAAATAGGATGAAAGAAACCCTTCTCCTACCCTTCTGAAAGACAATAGCTTAATCTGTACAATATGCAAATGTAAAGCTTAATATAATATGCATTGAAAATCACTAAAGCATTACCAACTAAGGAATAAATGTAATATAAAAATCCATATTGTAAATCCTGTGTTTGCTAGAACTCTATATTTCAACTCTCAAGACACACATTTCAGGGGAAACTACCTTACTTATCAATTCCTTCTATCAAAAGATAGAAAGATAGAAAGAATTCAGGTCAGAGATCTTCAATTTTCATTATGCAGGGGTATATAAATAAGAAAAGCTACACTTATGTCAATTATTTCTTAACAGAAATTTTAGTAAGCACCCATTCACCCAAAAATAATCAGAAAATTGGGTCTTTTGGTTAATTGAACATTCTTGTAATTGACATTTGTCAAATATATCATACATGGATTAACAGTGTTCAAAAAACTAGAATAAAATTACATGCACTTGACATCAGAATTATAACTTTAAGGCTCTTCCTAGCTGTATAATTCTGAACCTCTTCAGAATATACAAGTGCTCAGACATTACTTAAAGTATGTCATTGATTTAAATTAATCAACAAATAATTATATTTGTATAACATTTAGGAGTAAAAGGTTAAGCTAATAAAACTGAATTGTTATTGACTCTTGGACACAGCTTGAAATTTGATTATATGAAATACATTTGTGAAGTAAAATTAAAATAAACTAGAAAATGTTATTGGATAAAAAAATTCTGTCTTTCTAGTTGTTGGTTTTCTTGGTTAATGGGTGGGTACGTACTCTATTAAGCTTTAATAAAATGATTGGTGTCTACCTTAATAAGATACATTTTCTAATATTATTATGACTTTTCTCTACACTTGCATGGTATTAGCAATACATTATACTAGCAACAAGTAATCAGCAATATATTAGCATTATATTTTCATTTCTCCTTTGAATTTATTTATCTGCTAGTAATCTTTTACATGATAATGGAAAAAAATCAGAAGTTGCATATGTGTGCTATGAAAACTATTTTTACAGCAAACTGATTGGAGAGCATGTAATTTTTTTTGTCTTCTATTGATCATCACTACCAACTAGTTCAAAGAGTTTTAATAATCCTTAAAATACAACAACAGTTTTAAAAATGTATTGCAAATTTGTTTGTTCCCTGAAAAGAAAATAGCCTTTTTCATACTGGAACTGTCAAAAACTATTACATTAACTGGTTCAAGTGGTACAAGTAGAAAGGAGATTATCGTTTAATAACTTAAAAAATCATTTGCCATGTTACTGTCTTTTGTTTATTAATAAGGTGTTCTGAAAATTATTACTATGTTGAAAGAAAAAAATTCCCACAATATATTGTCATTACCAGGTATAGACTACAAATAATAAAACTTATAATTGGTTAAATTAAGTTGTGAAATAAAGAAGGTTCAGATTAGCATTGATCATGGCCATGGATTTTATTTTCCTTTAATTTTATTTAAAAAATTAGCAACCCCACTAGTGGGTATTTATCCAAAGGAAAGGAATTCAGTATAATGAAGAGATGTATGCAACCCCACGCTTACTGCAGCACCAGTCACAAGAGCCAAGATATGGAATCAACCTAAGTGTCTTTAAAAAATAAATGGATACTGGCCAAGATGGTGAAACCCCATCTCTACTAAAAATACAAAAATTAGCTGGAAGCAGTGGCGGGAACCTGTAATCCTGTACTCAGGAGGCTGAGGCAGGAGAATCGCTTGAACGCGGGAGGCCAAGGTTGCAGTGAGTCGACAGTGCACCACTGCACTCTAGCTTGGGTGACAGAGCAAGACTCCATCTCAAAAAAAAATAATAATAAATAAATAAATAACATGCATTTTAAAATGTGGTATATATACACAATGGAACACTATTCAGCCATACAAGACAATGACATCTTGTCATTCCTGGCATCATGGATGGGCCTGAAAGACATTTGTTAAATGAAATGAGTCAGACACAGAAAGATAAATATCCCATGTTCTCACTCAAATTTGGGAGTTAAAAAATGCTGAGCTCATAGTAGAGAGTATGATTGTGGTTATTAGGGGCTGGGAAGTGAAGAGGAGAGAAAAGGACAGGGACAGGTTGGTTAATGGATACAAAATTACAGCTAGATAGAAGGAATAAATTCTAGGGCTTTCTATAGCATCGTTGGGTGAATATAGTTAACAACAATTTGTTTTATATTTTTAGAAAGCTAGAAGAGAGAATTTTGAAGTTCTCAACATAAAGAAAAGATAAATGTTTGAGGTGATGCATGCATTAATTACTCTGATTTGATCATTACACATTGTATGCACGTATTAAAATATCACTCTATATCCCATAAATGTGTACAATTATCATGTCACCTAAATTTTGTAAAATTAACAGCCTTATTGAGATGTGATTGGTATATAGTAATGGCATATATTTCAATTTATAATTAGATCATTTTTAACACACCTGTCAAACTGCCAACACAATTGGAATGGTGAACACATAAAACACAGCCAAAAATTTCCTTACAATTCTGTGTAATTCCTTCCTTCCATATTTTCCTGCCATCTTATATCCCCTGACAACCTCTAATCTGCTTTTTTATATATATTACTTTGTATTTTCTAGAATTTCATAAAAATGTAATCATATGGTATGTACTTCTGGGAAGAGGGGTCTAGCTTCTTTCACTCACAACAATTATTTTGAGATTCATACACATTATTACAGGTATCAAAAGTTAAATAATTTTTATTGCTAACTAGTATTTCATTGCATGAACATATTGTCGTTTGTTTACCTATGTACTTGTTTATGAACATTTTGTTTGTTTCTACTTTTTGGCTATTACACATAAAACTGCTATGAACATTCACGTGCAACTTTTTGTACAGAAGTTTACTTTCAAAAATATTGGGAGAGGAATGGTTAGGTGATATTAGAGGCGTATGTTTAACATTTTAAGAATGTCCAAATTATTTCTAAAGTTATTGTTACACTTTCATTTCCAGTAGCAGTACCTGAGTTCCAATTATCTAAATCTTCACCAACTTGTTATGATCAGATGTTTTATTTTGGACATTCTAATAAGTATGCCATAATATTTTATTATGGATGTAATTTTATTACTCCAGCCATTAAAAATGTCAAACATCTTTTCATATGTTTGTCATTTGTATTTTTTTTGCTATACTGCTGCTTACATTTTTGTCTGTTTTTTGAACTGCATGGTTTGTTTTCTAATTGTTGAGAGTTAAGGGTTCTTTATATGTGCTAAATTCAGTCCTCTTTTAGATGTCTGATTTGTAATTTTTTTTTCCCCAGTTTGTGGCTAGTCTTTAATTCTCTTACTAGTTAGTGTCTTTTAAAAATTAGAAGTTTTTAACTTTGGTAAAGACCAATTTAGCATTTATTTTACCAATTCTAATGATAATTTGTTACCTAAGAATTCTTTGCCTAACTTAAAGTCACAAATATTTTTCTTTATGATTTCCTTTAGAAATTTATATTTTTATATGTTATATTAAATTATATGAATCTTTTTAGTTATTTTTTGTAGATGTGAGGTATCTATCTTAAAGTTTCTTTTCTGGAACATAAATATCCAATTATTTCAACACTATTTTAAAAATTATTGTTTCTTCACTGAATTGAATGGTGCTTGCATCTTTGTCTAAAATCAATTGGCTGTATAGGTTCCAGTCAATTTCTGGACTATCTGTTCTGATCCATTGATTTATTTATGTATCTTGTATTTATTATTGGTTATTGTATATGTGCTATAATTACCACTGAATGAATGATTAAATCATGAAGATTACAACGGCCATCTATTATAATTGGTTTTATTTTTCCTTAAGAAATATTTTATGTTTCAACATTCAACATTACAGTAAGAAAATTTTAACATTATACAGTAATACATTGCTTAACAATGGGGATACACTCTGAGAAATGCATAAATGCATCCATAGACAATTTTGTAATTATGGGAACATTATAGAATGTACTTACACAAACCTAGATGTTATAGCCTACTACACCCTTAGGCTGTATGGTATAGTCTATGTCTCCTAGGCTACAAATCTGCACAGCATGCTCCTGTATTGAATAATGTAGGCAATTGTAACACAATCATAAAAATTTATGAATCCAAACATATTGAAACATACAAAAGGTACAGTAAAAATACAGTGTTATAATCTTCCAGGACCACTGTCATATATGTGGCCTATGACTGACCAAAACATTGTTAACTGGTGCATGACTCTGTATGTATAACTATACATAAACACTCACATATATGTGTATATTTATATGCAAGATAGTCTTTAATTGTTGAAATAAAGTAATAAAACATACGTACTATTTCTTTTTCTTTCAGGGTATGAAATCTGTGTTTATTCATTTATTTTTTTTTTTTTTCATTATCACAAACCCTTGTAGCAGAGCACATCTGCCCATGATCTTTTCTCTTTTTTTTTTTTTTTCACTTTAAGTTCCGGGATACAAGGGCAGAACATGTAGGTTTGCTACATAGGTATACATGTGCCATGGTGGTTTGCTGCACCTATCAACCCGTTATTGAGGTTTTAAGCCCTGCATGCATTAGGCATTTGTCCTAATGCTCTCCCTCCCCTCTTCCCCTATTCCTCGACTGGCCCCAGTGTGTGTTGTCCTCCTCCCTCTGTCCATGTGTTCTCATTTCTCAACTCCTGCTTATGAGTGAGAACACGCGGTGTTTGGTTTTCTGTTCCTGCATACACACAATTTCAAAGTGAAGAGTGCTATATGTAACAATTGCTGAGACAATGTTCTATATTAACATTTTAATACAAATAAGATAATCTTAGTTGTCAGTTTTTTCTCTCCTGATATTATCACTATATTCCTATAAACTATATTTTTTATTGAAGTTATTAATGAAGCACCTACCTTATTTCAACTATAGTTCTAAGCATTGCACAATATCATTAAAAAAACAAAAATACCTACCCTTATCAAGTTTGCATTATATTTTGAAGAAATAGACAGAAAAATAAATAAGTAAATTATATAGTATGTTGGAAGGTGATAAATGTTCTGGGAGAATTAAAAAAATCAGAGGATGATTTGGGCATATTGCTGGGAAGAATGTGTTGCTATTTTAAGTAACGTAGTAGAAAAAGGTCTGACTGAGTTGTAGTAATATCTGAGCAAAAAGTGCAGGTAGTAAAGGAACTAATCATGGGAATAGCATGTCCGGCAAACCACAAGACCCTAAGGAGGGAACATACCCAGCATCACAAGAGATGAGCACAGGGGTCACGGGGCTGCTGCAGAGGGAGAAAAGCGGGTTGAGTGAGAGAAGATGGTGTGAGGGAGATAACAATGGGGCTATAAGGGAGCGTCTGGAAACCAATGATAAAATAATTGGCTTTTATTTGGGTGTGATGTGCAGTCTTTAGAGAGTTCCGTGGTTTAATTTATGTCTAACCAAGTTTCCTCAGGTTACTGTGCTAAGAACAGACTGAAGGGGTCAAGAGTGGAAATAGGGATGGCAGTTAGGAGACTATTTAAATCACCAGGATGAAAGACAATGACAACTTGAACCAAGTTATGGCAATAAGGTGGCAATAAGTAGAATCTAAACATATTTTAAAGGCAGAGCCAAGACACTGCTGATAGAACAAGTGAGATCATGAAAGAAAACTTCCCCAATTCTTCCCCATGTATAATATATGATACAGAATTAACTAATTCAACTACATAAATTTGAACCATATATGAAATAATTAACGTAATTATTTCCCCTAGTATTCTAATATTTCTTATCCAAAAGAGGCTTCCAAAAAAAAGAATTCCACACATACAATTATGGTAGCACATAAAAATGTAATGTGATTTTCTTCTTTTATTTATGCGAATTCTTATTCTAGGACATCGTAAACAATATTATCATCATCATCTTCATAAATTTTAGGAGGCCTTCGTTTGCACAAAAGAGTCATTAGAAAGGGCTAAAATGTTGTTACTTTCAATTGAAGATGGTCTCCCTTTGTGTTACAAATGTGCACTCTACTTTCCACACTTTCCTCACAGTCATTTTCTAGGAAAAAAAGTCTCAGCATTATATTTCTGAAGAGAGATGACAATATGTGAAAGCATGCATCTCTCCACAGTAACCATAACATCTGGAATATTCTAATGTCCTTACTTTGGTAGACTGGATCATTGTTCTCACTTTCTACCTGTCTCTAAACCTTTTTTTGCCCCTGACTTTGTTATATCTACCATTAGCATGATAAAAAGTATTCCTGAAACCGTTGATATTGGATGTGGCCAAATGACTTGCTTTGGCGAAGGAAATATTAGTAAGTATGACATAAACAAGGTACCTTAATGTGCCTAGGTGCTTTGGCTTCTCTCTTTTGCTTCTTTAACCATTGTGAGATAGACATGCCCTCTATCGCTGATGTCTCTTCAGCCTGGGCTCAGAATGGACCAGTGGAGTGAGCCAGACCCTGGCCAGAAGTCTGAAGCCAACCCAGCTGACCCACCCATACCCTAAAACAGGAATGCTCCTGGTGACTCACAGAATAGAGAGGAAGAAAATATATGTGCATTGTTTTAAGCTGAGTTATTCAGCATTTTTGCAGCAATAGTTAACTACTACACTTACATATGTAAATTTGTGAATGTTAATATTCAAATCATCTTTCCTTTATGAACAAGTATTACCCCTCCTTTATAAAGAAATGTCATCTTTATGAATGAGAAAAATATCATCCTCATTTCACAGAAGTGATTAAGGTACCAAGAGGAATTCTGTGGTTAAATTCTCAATCACAATTTTGAAAGAAAGTAGGGAGACAAATATTTTAAAGTAATAGTAATAATAATATCAACTAGTTAGCATTATATTCTTAGGCAGTTGGTGATAAATGTATTACAGATGGTATATTTTTTAAGCCTGGTTGAAAACCCTATGAAAAAGGTGAGGTTAATAACATTGCATAGAGTGGTGTTCCTCAAAGCAATGGTCTCCAGAGAAACAGTATCAGCATCACTAGGGAGATTGTTAGAAATGCAAATTAATGGGCTGCATTCCAACCTACTGAATCACAAACTTTGGGAGAAAGTTCCAGGAACCTGCATATTTTAACAAATATGAGAACTACTGGAGCTGGAGGAAGGAGTGCAGAGGACACAGAGGTTAAGTAACTTAGACAAATAAAATAGCTAATAAATGTTTGTTTTAGAATTTTAACCAAGCATTCTTCCACCAGAGCTTACATTATGTGGTAGGTGCTGTACACATAATTTCATTTAGTACTCAACAAACCTACAAAAAAATTTTCACTCCAGTTTTTATTAATAAGGAAACTGAGCTCCAGGGTTTCCTTAGTTAATAAATAGTTAATAAGTCATGAGCTGGTATCCATAACTTGATCTATTCAACTTCAAAGGCAGTATTTTACTACTATTCAAAAACTGATTCACAAGAAAGTCCAAACACATAGGGTATCAAGGAAAGTTTTTCCACAAGTAGAATATAATCCTTTAAGATTACTCCAAGACAATTGCATAGAAAATGCAAGACTTCCTGTGTTGTCAGTGGACTGTGTCTTATACTAAAAAGTAAAGACTAGCAACACATTTAATCTGTGAAATATTTCTAAACAGTCTATTCTAAAAAGAGTTTTGTTGAAAATTGTTTCAAGATAAATTATGAAAAACATAATTATTTAATAAGTTACTCACACATTAATTGAATTTTCAATTTCGCCTGTATGATAGGTTATAAGCACTGGCCAGTGGATCAAATTTTGGTGAAGTAGAAAGTTTTGTTTGGTCCATAAAGTAGTTTTTGGTTTGTTTTGTTTTTAGTGTTTTTGTTTGTTTGTTTGTTTTGTTGTTTTCTGGGGTTTTGTTTATTTTGGTAAAAACAAATCTAAATTTAAACATGAGAAGGAGTTACACAAAAAAACCTATATATTCAGGTTTCTTTTCAAAAATCAATCCTAGCAACACTAAACGAAGTTATAGATGATACAAAATATGACAGGTAGAAAGCCACGTCTAGTCGAGGCACTCTCTCTCCAGTTAGCCACTTCCTATCAACAAATGACATTTGAGTAGCCCTCAAGAGGCTGGAGTTGATTGTTTGGGGTTCAATCCTTGCTTTACTATTTAATAGCTGTGTGACTTTGAGCAAGTTTCATTGATTCTTCAACCATAAAATAGAGATGATAATAATACTGTAGGGGTTTGTTGTGATAAATTAATGATTTAATGAATTTTAAACGGTCAGATTATTTTCTGGCATCTAGTAAGTGTTTAATAAATATAAGCTATTATTTGTCTTTTTAATAGTAAATATTATTTTTTCTATATTCATATTTTGTTTTTGTGTTTGTTTGTTTGTTTTCAGGGATGTCAAGCAGGTCCCCAGAAGAAAAGAGATGGCATGCGTAAGTTAGTATAATTAAGGAAAGATTTAATAAAAGGACATTTTTTTTAAATGGGTAGAGTGTAGGAATGGTGGAAGATGTCAGCAACCCTAGGCCTGAAGGCTAATTTGACTCATCTGAGGTCAGTACTATATAATTGCTGTGTGTTTCTCTTCTACAGGTATTAAAAGGTACTTATTTACAAATGTTTTATCTGCAAAAGCTTATCAATGCACACCATATGTACACAGGTAAATTCAATATTATGAAAAATTCCTGGAATTGTCTATCATGTCACACTTCCCTCTCCACTTATATGTAGACACGTGGTAGATAAAATATTTTCTAAAAAAAATAGAAAATATTTATAAGCATAGAAGCATGAAAGTCAGTAAACAAATGTTATTTTCAGGATAACTAAAATACTAAAGTAGTAAAGTTATAAGAAAACAATTCAATTATTGCAATGGTTTGAATGTGTTCCCCACAGTTTGTGTGTTGAAAATTTAATCCCCAATGCAACACTTTTGATTGCTGGGGCCTAATAAGAGGTGATTAGGTTATGCGGGCTCTGCCCACATGAGTGGGTTAATGTTGTTGTCGTGGGATTGGGCTAGTTATCCCAAGAGTCAGCTTGCTATAATGGCCAGGTGTGGTGGCTCACACCTGTAATCCCAGCACTTTGGGAGGCCGAGGCGGGCAGAACACGAGGTCAGGAGTTCAAGACCAGCCTGGCCAACATGCTGAAACCCTGTCTCTACTAAAAACACAAAACATTAGCCAGCGTGGTGGCAGGTGCTTGTAATCCTAGCTACTCAGGAGGCTGAGGCAGGAGAATCACTTGAACCCAGGAGGCAGAGGTTGCAGTGAGCTGAGACTATGCCACTGCACTCCAGCCTGGGCAACAGAGTGAGGCTCCATTTAAAAAAAAAAATGAATTTGGCCCTTTTTGCTCCCTTGCTCTCACAATTTCTTGCCCTTCTGCCTTCAGCCATGGAACGATGTAGCACAAAGGCCCTACCAGACGCTAGTACCTTGATATTCCCCACCCTGCCTCCCGAACCCTGAAAAATAAATTTCTTTTCGTTTTGTTATTAAGCTTCTCTGCTTCTCCTATTTTACACTGCTCTCAAAAAGATAATCGTTCTAAGTAATAATTTTTACTTATGATTAACACTTGAAATTACTCTGAAAATGGAAGCCAGTATTGAGCAAGATGATATTTTGAGAGCTAGGAGTCATCCTGATAAACTACAATAGAAACATTTTATGGAGAATATTATTTTCTGTAGTATGAATGGAAGTACATTAAGTCATCTCTTATCCTACAGTTTAGGAAGAGATTTTCTGCTGACAAAAATCATATGCCAAAAATATGAATTTATAAGATAATTAATACTGTGAATTATTTTATAGTCTTACATTAAATATCATTGTTGTGATTGCCTGTAGTAAGTGTAAGATTCAAAGCTTATATTGTCATACTTATTGTTTTTAAAAAATATGTTTTAAGGTATACTCATGTTTCCTTTATTCGTCTGTCCAGTATGCACAGAAAATTTTAAATGTTACATTTAATTCCTAGTGTAGTTTAAGCCACTGGTTTTTTCTCTCTCATAGAATGTTTATTTAAGAATCCTGGTATAGCGTTATATTTATTCATGGTACTTGTAGCTTTATATGGTCTCTCTAAAATGTCTACCTGCAAGGAATAAGAAGATTGGATTTGACACTAGATCATCTACTGACTGCAAAATAATTTTTGTCCTCCATTGCATATACTTCACATTAGAAGTAGAAGACATCCTTACCTGAAACAGATGCAAAAAATCCTTCTTCCTTAAGAGTGTTCATTTTTCACAAAATCTCTAGGTTGTCCAATGCTTATAGTGTGATATTCTGGGAATCCTTCTTTAAAAAAAAAATTCCATTACAAATTTTGCTACAATACACAGCCTATTTTTTTCACACCCACATACCCACACATCCACTAACATTCGTTTTCTAAAGTGTGAAACAGGACTTCCTGGTGGCATCTTCACATTTTACGTAACTGTTGATGAAGCCACTGCTGACACTGGGAATGTCACTGTAAAATCCTGAGACTTCTGGGGGAAAGAAAGTGTTATCCAATTATTTGCTTAAAATATAGCACTGGCAAGTAACTGAGAAGGCAGTATCAACCTAACTGTCAACCCTTCAAAATCCACAGCCTACCAGTTTGAGGCAACTTACTTGTTAAAAGCTTTTATTAAACAATTTAAAAACTATGAA
This sequence comes from Homo sapiens, assembly GCF_000001405.40. Classification (NCBI taxonomy): domain Eukaryota; kingdom Metazoa; phylum Chordata; class Mammalia; order Primates; family Hominidae; genus Homo; species Homo sapiens. The sequence goes on from NC_000004.12 coordinate 132,985,975, forward strand.
TTATAGAGTTTTCCTCAGTTAGAAGATGAGAAGAAAATATCTACTCAGCAAAAAAAAAAAAAAATGAGGTGATATGATTTAAATTGGTTGACTTCACAGTCTGAATTCAGGGGATAGTTGCAGAGCTCAGTTTGCGTTGGGTAGCTCTCAAATGATTGTGCTCTTAAAGAATTATTTTGCAAGCACATCAGGAATAGTCTTAGAGAACTGTAATTTTCTGAATAGTTCAGGAAAAAAATGCTTAGGTTGAATTTCTCTGATCATTGAGGGGAACTGATATTTCCTTGGTCTGACTTATTTTTCATTTATATCCATATAGTTACTTGCAAACCCTTATGTCTATTTACTGTTCTATACAGTTAATTTTATATCTTCTGTTTCACCATTTTGAAATGGCTTATGTGAGGTCCTGATTATGAAAGCATGTTTTACTCTCACGGATCCAAACAGGAAGGGAAAAGAAACTCTTTACATGAAATTATAATTTTGAACAGAGACAAAATTGAGATCATTATTTCAATTAACATATATTAAATGATTGTGATCAAATGCAGATGACTCATGGGTTATTGTTGTATTTATTTTTCCTGTTAATGAAGAGAATTATTAACTGGATAAGTGATGTGGAATTATTGTAATGATCATTAACTGTGTATAGCCATGTTTCTTCTGGAATTCTTAATACTTCTACTTTTCAGAATTTATGGCATTACTTCTTAATCTTACTTTTGCTTAAAAACTCAGGTAAATATTAAACATACCATACATAAAATTAGTATTTTTATCATGCAGCCACTGATGTGAATTCCTGTGTGTGATTTTGCTACAACCACTTACAACATTTGTAATACCATTTCACAAATCTTCGGCTAATGCATTGATTCTACACAGTAAAGCATAAGTTAATAATACTTAAGCAAGCATAGATATTGCTGTCCTCTATTACTCAGGCAAGTTCAAGAAATGGGCATAAATTTTTGCTTTTAATATTAACCATGGAAAATTATTAGTAACTTCCGCCTAAGCAGTCTTGGAGATGATGACCTCTTGCTTTATTTACCATAATGTCTGCTATACTTTATAATAAGCTTCATATATGTATATGATATTAATTTTAATATATTTAAAATGTTAGTAAGTAAAAATAAAGTACACTGAAACTATTTTCATATGCATATAACAAATATTTGTTGAATTCTTATTAAATGCTATGCATGACTTTAAGAAAACTACTTACATTAATTCATTTATTCCTCATAACAACCCTATAAGATACAAAATATTATAATCTCATTTTTACATATAAGAAGACAAGGACACAGAAAAGTTAAATAAAATATCCCAAGATATATAGCTGTGAATGTTAGAAACTGATTCCAAAGATAATAAATCTGCTTCAGAAGCCAGAGTTCTTTTTTTTTTTTTTTTTTTTTTTGAGACGGAGTCTCGCTCTGTCGCCCAGGCTGGAGTGCAGTGGCGGGATCTCGGCTCACTGCAAGCTCCGCCTCCCGGGTTCACGCCATTCTCCTGCCTCAGCCTCCCAAGTAGCTGGGACTACAGGCGCCCGCCACTACGCCCGGCTAATTTTTTGTATTTTTAGTAGAGACGGGGTTTCACCGTTTTAGCCGGGATGGTCTCGATCTCCTGACCTCGTGATCCGCCCGCCTCGGCCTCCCAAAGTGCTGGGATTACAGGCGTGAGCCACCGCGCCCGGCCCAGAAGCCAGAGTTCTTAATGGCTATATTATAGAGCACTTCTATTTCCAGCTTGATTACTTTGAAGTAATTAGTTTTAATAATATTGTGTACATTATTAAGTTATTCTAGTCTTTGTTATGTGTATATATGATAAGGTAATAGTTTATTGTCTCAAAATTCTCTTTCTTAATGGATTATTTAGCAGTACAACACTTTCTTTTCACTAAATACTCTTATAATTTTAATATGTATAGTTTGGTTTGTGTGTTTTCAATATTTTGGAACATTATGTACATACTGCTGCTTTCTTCCTAATATTTGTCCTCTCATTCTTAGAATGAATGAGTAAATACATGGCTACTTTGAAAAGACTTTACATTTCTCATTCCATTTCATATCTAGGCATGGCCAATGAGATGATGCTTAATCAGCAAATGTCCTGTATTTTCTTCCATAAACCTTCTTTAAAGGTGAAAATCTTATATGTATTCTTATTGTTTCTTCTTCCTTCCCACTGCCTAGAATGTAAAGAAGACGGCTGGAGCTGAATCAGCCATCTTTGACTATGGTGTTGCTCTGAGAATGGGATTTGCACAAGGCTAAGTAACATCATAGAAGTAGCCCAGGTGCCTGAGGACTTCAAACACCCAAGCCTCCACTACAGCCTCAATTTCCTTCCTTACATTGTTTATGTGAGAAAGCAATAAACTTCTATTTTGGTTAATGCACTATTATTTTGAGTTATCTGTTACTCACAGCCAAACTGGGCTGAAAAGTCATCAAATCCTTGTGCCCAGCTTCTATACAAATAGAGAGTGCTACTCTACTAAATTAAAGTTAAGTAGTATTGGTCAATGTTTTAGCAGGAAATATTTTCAGTAACTGTCCTTGAAAGGACAGATATCCTTCCCCATGACACAAATATGCTCACTCTGAGCTAATGTGCTCAGACATTCACAGTGGAGGTGTTGGAAGGTAGACTAGAAAGATAAAATGGAATCTGAATGGAATTGTTTATTACGTTAGAACTGTTATAACTCCCCCTGGCCCTGGCCTAACTGCCCTTCACCCCCACATCTTGACCCTGACTCTTGCCCATTATAACTATGTCTGGCTTGTACTAGTTTCTGTTTTAATTGAAAATTATTACTTTTAATATGAAAAACTGATGTATAAAATGGTAGTATTTAGTTGAATAAACATAATGACAATTGAGCTTTTAGATGACATTTAAATGCTCAGAAATATGACACAGGAAATTTCTATATATAATGATAATATAGTAATTTAAAATATGTGAATGTAAAAAAATTTCGATATCATAATATTATTCATTCTATATGAGATTTAGGAAATACAACATAAATATATTTTGCATTTTTTATATTATTATTATTGTAGACAGAGTTTCACACTCTTGTTTATGCTGGAGTGCAGTGGCGTCATCTTGGCTCACTGCAACCTCCACCTCTCAGGCTCAAGGGATCCTCCCACCTCAGCCTCCGGAGTAGCTGAAACTACAGGCTCATGTCACCACTCCCAGCTAATTTTTGTATTTTTAGTAGAGACGGGCTTTCACCATGTTGCCCAGGTTCGTCTTGAACTCCTCACCTCAAGTGATCCCCCTGCCTCAGCCTCCCAAAGTGTTGGGATTACGGGTGTGAGCCATTGCACCTAGCCATTTTAAAATATTATTTTTAAAAGATTTATATTATTCATAAGTATTGCTTAATTGAACATCATTTTAGATATGCTATATATTTTTCTTCATTATGAGACATATATGTCCACAAAAGGTATTTCATGTAAGACTTAAAAAAAAAAAAAACTTGTCCAAACACCTTTTGTGAAAGAGACATATGACGTATAACATGATTATTGTGATTTAAATCACCCAAACAAACACTGAAACACATAATTTGATCATGGATGTAGATCCAGCTATAAGGCATGGATTCTTATTGCGAGTGTACCTCGCAATAAGAGTGTATCTTTATCGTGAGTATACTGAAATTCATATCAGGTTACATAGTTTTTATGGTTCTACCATATCTGATGTTCCATTACATCAGAAATGATGTAGAGCAACAAATCTAAGATACACGGATATGACTTGTTCCGCTAAGAAAAAAGCAACAAAAATAAGTAACATTTGAAGATAGCTGCTTCACTATTACCAAACCCTTAGAAAAATCTTGCGCATGATACTGTTCCATTACCCACTCATTTATTTAATCATATAAATAATGCAATCCATTGGAGTAAAATACCAACATGTCAAAGTGTTTGTTTATTTGAAGAGTTAGGTAAGATAATTGGTAAAGTTTTTTGACAAGATAGTTTTCTAATTCTAACTAAATATTTAAAGATTTATTGAGAATATTTTAGGGACTACAGGCAACATTTTCATGTAAAGAGAAGATTGATTCTGAATGTGTATAGCTTGTAAAAATCAAACACTTGCTGCTTTAAAAACGATTTGGGGAGGCCTGTTTTTATAATATAGACCTTTCTTATAAATAGTGAAGTGAGGAATAATATTGGAGTTATTTAAAGATACAGCAAACTTAAATTGGAAATGAACCACTTTTTATAGTACATTTGTGAAGCTCAGGAAAAATTTAGATTTTATTTGTACTAACAAAATGTCCTATTTTTATCAATATTTTTAAGAATATTTTTATTAGTACTAACAAAATGTCCTATTTTGTATCACTATTTTAAAGAATATTTTTATTACTACTAATAAAATGTCCTATTTTTATCAATATTTTAAAGAATATTTTTATTAGTACTAATAAAATGTTCTATTTTTATCAATATTTTAAAGAATATTTTAGTACTATTTAAATGTCCTTTTTTATCAATATTTTAAATAATATTTTTAAGTAGAAATATATCCTAGAATTGTATATTGCTCCTCTTTTCTTCCCATATGTATGTACAACTAGGGTGACTTCTATTTTCCAGATAATTCTTTTCCTGGGTTTCATCTATATATGCAACTCTCTAATCAACATTTTTAATTTTCCCTAAAATTCGTTTAACTGAAACTACAACTTTCTCCTTTCCCAAACAGCCAATTTTTCAGTATTCTATTCCTCAGGAAACCAGTGATGTAGAAAATTGACCATAATTCTTTCTTCCCAAATCCTGTATGTGACTACCACTTCCTGATCTACACCCACTAAAGCAAGTGCATATACTCAGCCTTTTGCATTCCCACACATGATGGCATTAATTTTAAGGATTAGAGGCTAGAATAATTGCCCAGTATTTTAAAATTAAATATTTATCCCCTTCAATTCACTGTTAATATATTTCATATATTTATAAAATATAAATATTCTACTTCTTGCTTCAGTTACTCACTTTTACCTATAGGAGAAAAACAACATATTCAATCACCTAAATAATGACGAAGGAGGCGTCAAGTTCTGCCTCTAACATCATCCCTTACTGAAATTCTCATCAGATATCACTCTCTAACCATATCAAAATACTTGCAGTTCTGAAAGTTTGTTTTTGCTAAGAATGGTCTTTTTGTTTCAACTTCTCCCACCACCACCCCTTACCCCCACCATCACCACAATCCCTATGTCACCTTATCTCTATGAGTAAAGCCTACTCATTGTTCAAGAGTAAAGTCATATAACCTCTGTGAGGTTTTTCCTGGATTCCAGAGATACAATTTACCACTCTTTCCTTTGTATACAACTGTACCCACTGTTTACTTCTACAGTGACTCCAGAATCTTAGTATTGTATTTACAGTTTATGTATCAGTTTCCCTCTAATAGATTGAAAGCTCACTGGGGTGTGTATCATGCCTAATTTATTTTGATATTCATACTATCCAACACGAGGCCTTCAGAAAGTCATCACTGAATGAATAGATGAATTACAAAATAACAACAACAAAAATGAAATCTATAGAGTCCTCGACCATAAGCAAAGATCTTTCATATTGCATCCTGCTGTGGTTTGAATGTGTCCCCTGCAAAATTCAGATGTTGCAAATGTGATAGCATTAAGAGGGGAGGCCTTCAAAAGATGATTAGGCCATGAGGCTCCTCCCTTGTGAATGGGTTTAAGGCCCTCATTAAAGAGACTTCATGCAACGTTCAACTGGCTTCCCCTTCCACCTTCCACCATGTGAGGATACAGTGTTCCTTCCCTCTGGAGGATACAGCCCTCACCAGACAACTGAATCCACTCCCTGACCACCAGAAGTGCGAAAAAATAAACTTCTATTCTTTATAATTTCCCTACCTGAGGTTATTCTACTGTAGTAACATGAACAGACTAAGATGCATCTTAAGAAATAAATTTCACAAATACATAAAACACAAAATGTAAAAAATCAAGACTTCAACTTTACATACTAAAAACTCTAAAATATTATTTTCCTAGTGACGTTTGAGTAAAGGAGTGGAAATTTGAAAGCAAGTCTAATAAAGAAACAGTAGTATTTCAGTTTTTCAAACAGAAAGTGTTATTGAAATATCCTGATGATTTGAAAAAGCCATGTGATTAGGATTATATAAGAATTTAGATTCTGTTTGGGCTTTGTCATAAGAAGTTATGGGATTCTAGGAAGTCATTTACTTTCTCTGAAATCCAGCTTTTTGAGAGTAGGACTTAGTGACTTCTTAATTTATGTTTAGCCCAGAAACCTCAGAAAATTTTATTTTATGGTTGTGGAGTTATATAATCTTGATAATAATCAAAATGATTTTTATATTTAATTTTCTTTACTAATGTAAATAAAAACTAGAGCTTAGTATTAAAATGTAAGCTTTGTTTAGGAATTTTCTGAAAATCTTCTTCCTGCATGCTCTTTTCTTTTTTAAAAAAATAATTGTCAATACAGGTTTCCAGTGACTTTATTCAGTTTATTGGACATTCAAAATACTTCAGACTCAAATTTTCCAAAGAAGTGATTAATTTTAATAAAACAGATTTATATATATTTGGAACAACATCTTAACCATATTTGAAGTGTGAAAGCAGCTTATACCTTGCCATGGCATCATGACAATTAGATTTGCATTTTATCACACAGATGGGGGTAAATGCACACAGATACAGAAAAACACATACCTACTTCGTACCCAGAAAAGAAAAAAAAAGCCTGAGTAGCCTGTCCAGTTGGTCCAGCTGTAGTTTTCAAAATAAAGGAAGCCTTGGCCTTTTCCTGCAAATTACTGACTCAGTAACAACAACAAAACCCCATTGTTTCTTTGTTTTTTATACTTCTGCCTAAAGGGATAACCCTGGTAGCTGGAATTCACAAACACATTTATGGGAAGGATTCTTGCGGACTTATACTATTAAATTTATAGATTTTCCCTTTTTTGTTACTAATATTCTTCTTTGTCCTCAGTTGGGACTGCTGGTCCTTGGAACAAACTTCTCCATTTCAACTTGTCTGGACTGGTTTTCTTTCCATGTATCAGAGATCTGCTCTGATTTTTCAGAGGATGTTAATTCTTTTTTATTTTTTTTTCCTTAGCTCTCTATATTGTTTTTTGTTTTATCCAAAATGTATTGTTTTTCTTTTTCTTTTTGGCTTTGTTTTTTGTGTTAAATTTTCTTCAGATGTTTGGTAATCTTTTGATGGCTATTTATATTTAAGTGGGAGAAACTGAAATAATAAATGGAAGCTTCAGGGTAGTGGCTTGGCTTGCTGAACATTTAACAGAAAGTTGTGTACCTGATTGGTGGCAGACGGCACTATGTCAGCCTAGAGGGACCTTGTCTTTCATGCCTATGTCTTTTAATGACGCTCTTGTACAAAAGCATACATTGTTTTACACGATAATATATACCTACATGTAAGAGAAGGTAGTTCTGCCAAGTAAAGTGTCTTCTGGGGAGATATAAATCCATGTCACATTTAACAAGCCATGCAGAGGTGCTTTTGAGCATAAGGCATTCTGTTTATATCATGCAATAATGATTACCAAGGCCAAGCTTATTGGAACATTGTAGCTCAAAGATCTACAGGCTGGCTTTCCATTATCTTGCAGGTACTATAAATTAATTCCATTTTATCTGGATAAAAATTAACTTAACCACCCTGATCTACTTTCCTAAGGAATGTGAAGGTGTGACAAATTAAGGGGAATAGACAGTAAAGGAACAAGAAGAAAAAATACATAACAATTTGTAGAAGCCATGAGGCACTAGAAAGTATAGCACTAATTGTCTAGTATTACTAGTAGACTAATTATATATCATATTCTATTATAATTATATTTATTCAATTATTATAATTACAAATGTATAATGATTTTTATAAGCCAAGAAAATATGGTGTTAATAGTTTAGTGTTATATTCTGTGAAGTCACCTACTTGTGAAAATTAATTTTTTCAATCCTCATAAACACCTATGAAGAAAATGATTAAAACTGTTAAAAAAAATCTACTTTGAAAAGATTGGGGAGCTAAGGTGACCATGAAGAAAAGGGGCCAATATCTGACAGAAGAAGGAAACAAGAGACAAACCCAGTGCCTCAGATTTCCTCTAGAAGAATCTGCCAATTCCAAATGAAGTGGTCAAAAGACAAAACTGGAACAGACAGAGAACCAAAAATTGACAAGCTATATCCAAGAATGAGGGTAAGCAAAGGAGATTGGCCTTAATAGGGTCAAAACTCAGTTTCATATTATCTCAATCCCTGAAACTGCTGTAAGAAAATTGCATAAGCCTGGTCACTTAATAGAAGCAAATGTAAATCATTCCTGGAGAGTGTCAAAGATAAATCTGGACACTAGTTAGAGTAGTAAGAATAGATTTTACTCAGTACTATACTATTTTAATCAGTAATATGTTATAAGGAAAAGAATCTAGTGTGAACTGAAGTCAAGTTCAATTTGTACTTAAGTGACTTCGCATTTTATAGGAACAATGAGAAAATAGGAAGTGAGGCAAGCAAAGGATTAGTAGAGGTAAGAGAATGAAAACTTCTAAAAATTGGGAAGGAGGGGTGTAGGTTCATGTGAAATCCACTGGCATTTGTTAATTGGAGCTTATGGAAGTCAGACTCCTGCCCCTCCAGGGACTGGAAGACAGGGGCCCTATCCTCAGGTCTTGGCTAGAACAAACAATAAACTCTTTCGGCAGCCTTGAATTTTCTCTGGCATGCACTTTAAGGGGGAGCTATGATTATCCTAAGAACTCAGCCTTCAGCTGTTAGAAATTACATTAGTGTTTTTTTCAAGTCTTAATAGATCAATTCTGAGGCCTCAGAAGGGACCTTAGAGGACTCAGAGGAGCCTGGCTAGAATTTGGTCAAGGAGATAATCTTTGACAAAAGATAGTAACATTCCAAGTTTCAAATTTATCTCATAATTTTTCATATAAAATTTTCATAATTCAAGAAAGAACAAAATATATGGTGATAAGATAATGAGAATACTAAGGGAAAAACAAATAATAAAAACAGACCTCAAGAGATCTATGCAATGAGATTATAAGATGTAGAATTTAAAATATTTGAATAGATCTGAGGTATAGATAGTGCAATTTAATAAAAAATATAAGATAAAAATATTTAAAAAGAAAGAACAATATTTTCATTGTTTGCAAATAGTGTGAGTATATAAGAAACCTGGTAATCTCCAAACAAATACTACTTAAATAATGAGTATAAAAAGTAGACCAAAATAAATATCCACAATTTTTACATGAGTTTTAAAACACTATTTTTTAAATGCATTATTTACAATAGGCACACACACAGTAAGAATGTTAATCAACTATTTTTTAGAAAGCAGTAACTATATTATTAAAACAAAATCTTAATTTGTTTTATAAAAACATACATATATAATAATAATATGATCTGATTGTGAAATGACAAGTAAAATTATTTTCTCAGTGTAATAATAGGTAACACTAATAGCTATTTGTGCCATTAACAATTCTTCTGAGAAATAGATTTACATATCCAATGTGACTTGACAACTTAATTTGAATATATAATAATATTTCAAAGTTAATATGGCCAAAATAAAGATATTGAATTCTTCTTCCTATCACAAGGTGAAGATGTATTATGCCTGAAGACTAAGGAGTTTTGAGGAACAGTGATTTGAAATAACGTTGTCAAACTTTCATTAAAGATTGAGACCATCTTCTAGAATTCAGTACCAAGGATAAGAAAAAAAGGAACTAAAACTCCTTCTATATGCCATGGGGAATCTAGAAGCTTACTCCTTGTTTGTTGATTGACCAGAACAAAAAAAGAAACTAAACTATAATCTTTTGAATGATAAGATAAATATTAACATGTAAGTCAAGCAATATTTTTGTCCTTAGCATTGTTCTGTATATACATACCTAATAATTGCAATAATTTTATAAGCTATGAATTTACAACTGTTCACCAAGGAGCTACTTATAGATATGAACTCGATTTTACACTATTGAACACAATTATTAATACTTCCTTGCACATTACATCTTTTTAATCAAAATAATTCCAAAGCTGGTTCAACAAATATTTAGTAAATGTCTATCACTTGCCAGGCACTTTCCTGTGCTCTGATACTATGGCGGTTAAATAATAATAATAAATTAGATATTTATCTGCCAACATGGTTTCATGGGTTCAAAGTCTAAAAGGCAAAACATGTCATTTCAAAAATGTGTCCACTTATCCTTTTATAATAATAAATTAGGACATGGGCTATGAAGAAAATGAATAGAGTCCTGGGCTAGGAACAATATAGGATGAAGAAGAAAAGTATTAAAATAATTTTCTAGTCAGACACTAGTCAGAGACTCTCTGGAGCAGAAATAAGCAGAAATCTGGAGGAAAATTATACTTAAATATGAGGGAATGACATATGCAAAGGTATTCTGCTGAGGAAGGGGCTGGTGTGTCTGAGGAAATTATGGCCCACATAGGTAAAATATAGGAATCTGGGGAGAATGTTGAAACTGAAGACTATGCAGAGACTTTGTAGAACATGGCGAAGAGTTTAAATTTTGTTTCAAGATCAGTTTGAATTTTATTCATGTTCCATAGAACCTCATTGAAGAATTTTAAGCAGACAAGATAAAAATATCTAATTAGCTTTTTTAATGAGATTGCTCTCTCTATTGCAGGGAGAAAGGATAAGAGCTGGGACAGAGCAGAGAAGGTTCTGTCAAAAGTTATCCCAACATTATAGGAAATTTGCAGATAGTGGCTTGGGGTAGGTCTGTGCAGTGGGGATAAATAAATGTGGATATATTCTGAATGGATTTTATTTTGTGCTGCAACAAAATTAACTGGACATCTCAGATTCACAGTTCTTTGCATCTTCTACCTTGGAAATACCTTGCTTTATGTGTTTCTGAAGGTCGCACATTTTCCTTTACTAGAAGCCAGCAGTTTACATTTTAGGGATATTGTAACAAAAGTTTGAATGTGAAATGTAGGTTACACTGCATGATTTCTAAATTTAAATTCAACTTGAAATTCTACTTTTTTGATAAGAAAGGACAATTTATTAATGGGGGGAAGTCTTAAAGTAAGATGTGTTTCTTAGATTATAAAGGTCATTTTCATCTCAGAACATTTTTCTTAGGAATGTAGATTAAGATACTGGTAAAAGAACTCTGGTTGGAGAAACTTGATCCCAGAACATTAGACATAAGTCAGAGATGGCTCCTTATATTTATTGGGCAAGAGAAACTGCCATCAGACAAAGTATGTTTAATCCAGTAATTAGGTCCATACTGGGTAGAAGTGCTTGACTATATCCACACTACACCACTTCCGCTTGTTTGGATTAAGTCTTGGGTCTGAAGATAACCTTCAAAGCAGGAGTCAGAAATTGTGTCTTCTAAAATTAATGATGTGTATAGAGTAGTTTTGAACAGACTTCAATTAACCAAGTCAATGATTATCTTTGTTTTGTGTTGTTATATCAAAATACCACAGACTGGGTCATTTATTAAAAAAAGAAATTTATGGCCAGGTGTGGTGGCTCACACCTGTAATCCCAACACTTTTGGTGGGGGGGGTCAAGGCAGGATGATGGCTTCAGGACGGGAGTTTGAGACAAGTCTGAGCAGCATAGCAAGACCCCATCTCTACCTCCTCAAAAAATGTATTTTAATTATCCAGGCATGGTGACTCAGATCTATAGTCCCAGCTACTTGGAAGGCTGAGGTAGGAGGATAGCTTGGGCCCAGGAGTTTGAGATTGTTGTGAGCTATGTTGTGGCACTGTACTCCAGTCCGGGTGACAGAGTGAGACTCTATCTCTTAAATAATAAAGGAAGATATTTCTTACAGTTCTGGAGGCTGGGAAGTCCAATATCAAAGTGCCAAAATCTGGCAAGGGCCTTCATGCTGCATCAGATCATAGCAGAAGGCTTGCAAAGATAAGAGAGCATGTGAGCAGGAAAGCAAGTGGGGAATGAAATCCCTTTTACAACACATCTACTCCTGTGATAACTAACTCACTCCCTCAATAAAGACAAACTCTTTCATTAATGCAGAAACCTCATAACCTTATCATGTCTTATTAAGCCCCACTTTCAAATGCTGTTGCATTGGAAATTAAGTTTCCAACACATGAACCTTTGGGGATACCTTCAAACCACAGTATACTGCCCTTGGTTCCCAAAATTCACATCCTTCTCACAATGCAAAATATGTTCATTCCATTCCAATAGTCTCAGAAGTCTTAACTCATTCCAGCATCAATATACAAGTCCAAAGGCCAGAGTCATGTCTAAGCTAGATATGGGTGAGACTTAAGTCATAATTCATCCTAAAATAAATTTCTCTTCAGCTATGAACCTGTGAAATTAACAAGATATGTGCTCCCAATATACAATGGTGGGACAAGCATAAAATAGACATTCCTATTCATAAAGGGAGAAATACACAAGAAGAAAGCAGTCCCTAATAAGTCCAAAGCCCAATGGGGAAAACAACGTTAAGTCTTAAGGCTGGAAAATAATCTTTTTTGACTCTGTATCCTATATTCTAGTGGGGTGAGGATTGGGCCACAAAACCTTTCACAGTCCTGCCTTTATGGGTTTGCTGAACACAGGCCACACTGTATCTCTCACAGTTTAGTGTCTTCTGCCTGCAGCTCCCTCAGATTGGTTTTGCACACTGGTAACTCTACAGTTCTGGTGTCTTGGGGTGGCCCTGATTCTGTGGATCTACTAAACATTGCCTTAGTGGGGACTTTCCACAGTGGCTCCTTTCCTGTGAGAAGTCTCTGCCTGGCCCGAGACTATCCACAACATCCTTTAAAATCTAGGTGGAAGAAGTCATGCCTACACAAATCTTGCATTCTCTGCACCTGCAGAATTAGCACCAGAGAAAACCAAACCCATGAAGACCAAGATGGCCAAAAAGACACCTAAGCCACTGAATGATTGGGAAGTGAGACTGAAAGTTTCTTACCAAGATTAAGACTTTCTAAACCACCTTGTAAAACAAACAAAAATAAACAAACAAACAAAAACACCTGTTTGTAACTTGCTCTTCAAAAATCTCTTGACAGGATGCCAAGTAGAAAAGAAACTTACTCTTAATATATATTTGAGATATAATTAATAATTTGGCTCAAAAAAACTAATAGCAGGAGTTCTTAGTTTTATTTCCATTATACAAAGAACTTTGAAGACACCACTCCATTCCTTATGGAACAATCATAGCTGAACAAACTAAAAATCAATAATGTTTCTAATATCCATCAGATAATTGACGTAGCAGGACGAACTGCTTTCCTGAAATCTGGAGAAACAAGCGAACCTAAAGTAATAGTCAAGATCTCTTTACATGGAGCAGAAGCCACTGGAACCAAATGAATAGTAGTTTTGATAAGTAATTGGTGGGTGAGTGTGGGCTACATTGAATATGAGAAAATTCTAGGGGCTGTAGCCTTCAGAGGACCCCTCACTTTCATAAGATTTATGTTCAACCCACCATGGCGAAGATGCGAGAAAGATCTCCCCATGACTATAGAAGGGGGACAAAAGGAGTAATCCTTGTGAATTAACACCATGACATTAACAAAGGCCTACTATCCTGAAGAAGACTGTACCAGAGTTTTCTAGAGCCTTAATAGAAGGTCATTCTTTCCACCCTAGCCCCCACCAGCATTCCTATATCAGATAAGAAGGGAAAAAAGATACACAAGAAAAAAAACTTACACAGGTCACAGGCCAGAGACACAACGCACAAAAGACTGAGATAAATTTTAAGGTTATAAAAAGCCTTCCTCCCTCACGTGTTAACATTACACCACCAGAGCTCATGTATTTAATAATAGTGGGTAACAGCTGAAAAAGTTGCAAGATACAGACTCTTTCTAATAAGGAATACTTAAGAAGGCCAAAGTCACGAGGAGTGGCAAAAAGAACAGCAGAAAAATTTAAAGCCTCTGCCATGTAAATTGCAGAGACCAAGAAACAAAGCCCAACTTCTAGTTAAATTAACACAAATTCTCACGTTAGAGAAACATTATACTTTGTTTCTGTTATCTGATGAACATACGTGGTTTCTGGCAAAAACCACAAGTCATGCTCTAGGCCCTGAGGAAAAAGCCTGAAGAGAGAAAACAAAGATAAGAACCTGACTCAGATTTGACACAGATGTTGAAGTTATCAGACAGACAACCTAAAAATAACTATAGTTAATATGCTAAGGGCTGTCATAGAAAAAGTTTACTATTATAAGAAAGAACAGATGGGTAATGTGAGTCAAGAAATGGAAATTTTAAGAAAGAATCAACAGAAAATTCTACACATGAAAAGCATTGTAAGAAAATTTAGAATGTCTTAGATGGATGCATATTAGACTGGAAATGACCAAGGAAAGAATCAGTGACCTTGATGATATGTCAGTAAAAAGTGCCCAGAATAAAATGTAAAAAGAAAAAAAATGAAAAAACAGAACATAACATCAAAGAATGACAGAACGATTTTTAAAACTGCAATATAGACATAACTGATATAAAAACAGAGAAAGAAAGAAAAATAAAATGCAAGAAATACTTGAAGCAGTAATGGCTGTGAACTTTATAAAATTAATGAAAGACATCTAACCACAGATCTCATGTTCTCATATTGCTTAGTACTACTATTCCTCCCCAACTCCAGAAGCAAGTGCTTATTGAGAAAAAGAAGAAGCCAAATTTAACAATTATTTGATTGGTTGCAGTTATAAAGTTGCTTTTTTTGTTGTTTTTCACCTTACTCAAGTCTCTAGTTATGTAAGTATAAGACTGTTGGCTCCTTCTGATTGGATGAGCTTAAGTTCTGTTTTACTTTTCCTTTGCTTTTTAAAAAATCTTAATTAAATATATTTTACTTAAAATAGCAGTTAATGTCATACCAACATCTTGTTAGTTGAGAAATTGTATGCTTTTTATAAACATAATTAAAACCTTATAAAATTCAGAGTACTACTATTCTTAGTACCACTGTTCCTGCAGCTAAACAACTCATTCTTCCTAGTGCACACCATAAAAGAGTATAGAAAAAATACAATAAGTTAGATAAAATGAAAAACTGTAAGTGTTCAATTAATCCAAGCAATGACAGAAAAGGAAGATAAGGAGACAGAGAACAGAGGCAATAATTATGAAACATGTAGCAAAAGTAGCTGAATTTTAAAGACAGTAATTAAATTGTATGACATGGACTGCATGTTTTTAAAAAGGACATAACTTGTAAGACTTAAAAATAAAAGCAATATGCAACATGCTTTCAATAGATGCATTTTAAAATATAAAGTCATGGAAAAGTTCAGATAACATAATGGAAAAAGATACAGCATGAAAAATATAAACTCAAAAAGTTAATGTGGCCATATTAGCATTAGACAAACCAAACTGCAGTACAAGGAGTATTGCCAGAGATAAAAAAGGGCACTTCATAAAGATAAAATGGTCAATTTAATTTTTCTAAATATATACTAAATGACAGAGCATCAAAATTCATGAAAGCAAAATTGGCAGCACTAAAGAAAGAAAAGTATACATTTGTAATAATAGTGAAGAATTTGACATCCTTCTCTCAATAATTGATAAGGCAAGTAGACAAAAATATATTATTGTAGAAGATTTGAACAACACAATCAACTAAATTAGTCTAATTAATATTTACAGATCACCATAGAGCTATAATATATGCAAATTATTAACTGAATACATTTCAAAGTTTTGAAATCATACATAGTATCTACTATTAGCCCAACAAAATTAAATTAGATACATAAAAAAGATACATAGTTATTCCCTAAAATACTTAGTAATAAAGCAATATTCTCCTAACTAGAACTACTGGTTAAAAAAATAAATTACAAGGGAAAATAGAAATTATTTCCAGTTGAATGACAATTAAAGTACAATACATCAAAATTATTAGGGGATAAAATTAAATATTTGCGTGGAGGAAAATGTATAGCTTTAAAGGCTTACATTATTTTTTAAAAAAAGGGAAAGTATAAAATCTGTGAGCTAAATTTTCCACTTAAAAGCCAGATGAGCAAATTAAAGAAGCCAGAAAACTATATTAAAAAAATTTAAGAACAAATTAGTTTTTAGAAGAAAGAAAAGAATAGCAAAAATCAATGAAATAGAATTCAAATTAGTAAAAGACAGAGTTGGTTATTTAAAAAGATTAATGGAATTGATAGACAAATAACAAGACTGATCAAGAAAAAGACATTAACATTTTTAGCAACAGAAATTAAAACATGATCATTACAGTTTCTATACATATTAAATATATAATGAATTCATAACTATAAACAGCATTAGTAAGTTTTGATAATATTTGGGATTTAGAAGATCATTTTCTTGGAAAATACAGGTTACCAAAACTATCAAAAGACAAAATATAAGCTTTGAATACCCCTATATTGTTTTTTTAATTTATAATTTAAAATCTTTCCACAAAAATTCCAAGCCCAGATTGCTCAATTAGTAAATTATTTCAAATATTTAAGTAAAATCATTGATTAATTAGAAGAGAAGTGAATGCTTCCTAAAGCATCTAATCCAGCTTTCAAAAATTTCCAAAAACATTACTGATAAAGTTATAGATTAATATCATTCATGGATTTAAATTGAAAAATTCTCAAGAAATATCAGCAAATTGAAGCCAGTAATACATAAAATATAACACTACGAGGAGAACTAACTCCAGGAATGTCAGCTTGGTTTAACATTTGAAAATCAACCAATGTAAATCAACACATTAAAAAGCTAGCAAAAAAATACACCATCTATGTAAATGAAGAAAAAAAACTTGCCAAAAATTATATATGCATTCTGGATAAAAACTCTCAGCAAATTGGAAGTATAAAATTAATTTCTCATCATTAATGGTAAAGTGGTGAAGTTTTAAATGTTCCTCCCCTATGAAAAGGCAAAATGGTAAATTTAACATGGCCCTTGAGGACTTTATTCAAAAATGTGATAAAAAAGAATATTTATGAAAATTGAAAATAAAAGAAATGCAACTGTTTGCAAAAAATAGTTATTGTAAAGAATTAATAATACAACAAAGCTAATAGAATTGTAAGTTAATATAGTAGAAAACAGGCTGCAAAGTTAATAACCTAGATTTTTTTTTTTTTTTTTTGAGACAGGGTCTTGCTCTGTCACCAGGCTGGAGTACAGTGGTGTGACCTCTGCTCACTGCAACCTCCGCCGCCCGGAGAACACGCGGTGTTTGGTTTTCTGTTCCTGCATACACAATTGCAGGAGTTGAGAAATGAGAACACATGGACAGAGGGAGGACAACAACACAAGCATTTAGCAGAAATGACCCAAGTTTAGTTTCATTTATGTCTGTAGTCTTAAGCAACGTCAAGGCTATTTTTAAGGCCTAGGCATATTATACTTAAAATTCTTTAAAACAATTATAGGAGAAAATCTTAGAAGTAGTCAGAGAAAAAATATATATGTAAGAGAAAAGATAAAGAAGATAGTAGATTGGAAGCAATGCAAGTGAGAAAACAAAAGAGAAAAATCTTTAATGTAATGCAAAAGAAAGAAAACTGTCAACATGGAATTTTATATTCAGTGAAAATGTCTTTCAAAAGAGAAAGTAAAATACAGACTTTTTAGACATGCAGAAGCTGAAATAAGTTTTCACCTGAAGACTTGTGCCATAAGACATTTTAAAGAAGTTAATTCTTGTAAGGCAAAAGAAAAATGACATTAGATGGAAATATGGATTTACACTATACAAATAAATGAAGAGCAATGGAAATGGTAATTCTAGGGGAAATATCAAAGATTTTTCTTTTTATTTAAATCAATTCAAAAGATAATTGTTTAAATATGTGGGATACAAAACATTAACACACATATATAAATATATATGTAACACACCTATATTAACATATTTGTTAACACACACATATATTAACATATATAAACACACATATATTAACATTTGCATGTTAACACATACATTAACATATATATGTTAATACACATATAAACATGTATGTTAACACATATACATATGTATATATTGACATATATGTCAATATATGTGTTAATATGTCACTATGTATGTGTGCATATGTTAACATATATGTACATATATATGTAACTTGTATGACAATAGTGTCATAAATGCCAGGAAGGAAGAAATGGAAAATTTCTTCTATGATAAGATTGTTGTACTATAAATGAAATACTATAATATCAATTGGAGTTAGGCTGCATTAAATTAATGATGAATATGATAAATCCAAAAGAAACCAATAAAAAAAAAGAACTATACATAATAAACCAACAAAGGAGATAAAATGAAATCATAAAATTTATTAATCAAAAAATGTAGAAAAAAGTAAAAAGAGAACAAAGAGCATTTATGGCAAATAGAATCCAAAAGGAAGGTCATAGTCTTAGTGCTAATATAAATAGACACATTATATGCAAGTGTTCCACATAGTACAAATAAATAAGAAAAATAGTCCAAAAAAAATTGATAAAAAAATTGAATAAAAATAAAAACAAGAGAGACCTAACTATACTTATTACAAAAAAGCTAACTTTAAATAACCAGACATTTATTATTAATAAATAATAATAAGACATTGAAAAGGAAATAAGGAAAAAAAATACCATCCTAACTGTAGGTAGAAGACTTGTTAGAGAATAAAAAATCAAGCCACAGGATGGGATAAAAATATTCATAATGAAGATATCTGAACAGGACTTGTATTGGAATATATTAAAGATTCTCAAAACTTAATAATAAAACAAAAAAATTAAACAAATAAAATTTTTCCACAGATACTTCATTAAAGAGAATACATAAAGAGATGAAAAGTATATGTAAAGATTCTCAGTATTACTCAGGAAAAGCTAAGTTAAATTAAAACCACAATATATACCACTATACTTCTATTAGAATGGCTATAAAGACTGTCTATACCAAATGATAGTATGAATGTGTTGGAATTGGAAATGTTATACACCACTGGTGGGAATGTAAAATGGTACAAGCAATTTAGAAAATGGTTTGACAGTTTCTTAAAGTGTTAAACAGATGTCTACCATAAAATCCAGATGAATGAAAGCATACATTCATAACAAATACTTGTGCACAAGTGCTCATAGCAGTTTTACTTGTAATAACTTTAAACTGGAAATGGCTCATATGGCAATCAGCAGATAAAAATATAAATTATGTAATATCTACATAATGAAAGACTTCTCAGCAATTAAAAAAGATTTAACTATTGATACATAATAACATGGATGAATCTCAAAATGATTATGCTGAGTACAAGAAGTCAGAAAGAATAATGTGTGATTTCATTTACATAAATCTTTAGAAACGGCAAACCAACATAGTACAGAAAGATGAACAGTGTTGTCCTGGGGAGGTGGAAGGATAAGGAAGCAGGGAGGGGTGGGATTACAGGAGACATGAGGCAGTATGGAGATGATGCATGTTCACCTTCTTGATTATGGTGAGGATACCTTTTGTATAGACATGTATCAAAATTAGCCAATGATGCTTGTTAATTGTGTTTATTAACATCAATTTTACCTGTATAAAGCTGTAATATTTTTTTAAAAGTATAACAACAGATGGGAAGTGAGAATGTTGGTAGGTAGTAGGGAGTCTATATTTTTTAGACTATAGAAAATTGAATTCCTAATTAAAATTACAACTCTAAACTCTGCACCAGACGAAGTTCATATTACAAGATAACTCACTGAAACTTTTAAAGTACAGATAATCCCCACAGTCTTTCCACATTTCTGGCACATATTCAAAGACCCACTGATTTTAAATATTTTTAATTTAATTTTTAAAATGATGTTAGATTTACAGAAGAGTTGCAAAGATATTACAGATATTTTCTGTGTACTTCTCATCCCAGCTTTCCCTCATATTAACATTTTATGTAACCAGGGCACATTTGTCAAAACTAAGAGGTCAATAATGGCACAATATTGTAAATGAAACTACGAACTTAATCTGGATTTCACCAGTTTTTCCAATAATATATTTTTTCTTGTTCCAAGTTTCAATTAAGGGGCCCACATTATATTCAGTTTCCATTGTTCCTTTGACACTTCTAATCTGTGATGGTTTCTCAGTCTTTCCTTATTTTTCATGACATAGAAACTGAAGCGTGCTGTTCATGAATTTTGTAATGTGTTCCACAATTTTGGTTATTTCAATGCTTTCTCGTTATTCAACTGGAGTAATGAATTGTGGAGCAATACCACAGAGGTAAATTTTTTTTCATCATATCTTATCAAGGAGAACATGATATTATGGCTTTCTACTGGTGGTATTTATTTATTTATTTTATTTTATTTTATTTTATTTTATTTTATTTTATTTTATTTTATTTTATTATTTCTTTGAGGTGGAGTCTTGCTCTGTCGCCCAGGCTGGAGTGTAGTGGCGCGATCTCCGCTCACTGCAAGCCCCGCCCCCCGGGTTCACGCCATTCTCCAGATTCAGCCTCCTGAGGAGCTGGGATTACAGGCGCCCGCCATTACGCCTGGCTAATTTTTTGTAGTTTTAGTAGAGACGGGGTTTCACCGGGTTAGCCAGGATGGTCTCGATCTCCTGACCTCGTGATCCGCCTGCTTCGGCCTCCCAAAGTGCTGGGATTACAGGCGTGAGCCATCTACTGGTGATACTAACTTTCATCACTTGGATAAGGTAACATAACCCGGGTTTATATACTATAGATCTCCTCCTTCCTTGGTAATTAATAAATATTATGTGGCGTTACATGGAGACTACGCAAATATTCTGTTTGCCTGAAACTTTTACCCACTAATTTTAACATTCATGGTGGATTGTGCATTTATGCCTGTGGCATTCTAATGGTGATTTTCTGTTTTCCTCATTTATTTCACATTTTAAAAATGGATTTATTCTGTAAGAGTTGTCATCTTCCATATATTATTTATTCAGTCATTTCTTTATATCAGTATGCACTCATGGATATTTATTTTTTCTTTAGTCTAAAGCCAATACTATTTTTATTTATACTTGTCTTCAAACTGTTTGAGCGTTGACCACTTGGGGCTTTTTCAAATTGTCTCTTTCAAACTGTCTCTTGTGTATCATTCCCACCAGCATTCACCATTCCCGGCGCCAGTCCTGGCCACTTAGTATCTTAGAGGGGTAGTTTTATGCACGCTTGTTTTCACTAGGTGAGAACCAAACATCTCTGGAGTTCCTTCCTGGTCCTGCTCATTATTTCAGAGGGGTAGATTTTTAAAAAACAAAACAAAACAAAACAACAAAAACAAATTGTCTCCTGTGTACTTTTGATATGCTCTCATCTTTGTGTTTTAGTTGTTGTTAGCCTTCCTTACCTTCTGCCACGATGAGTTGTTTCAGGGTCCTCTTGGCTTTTACCTTTTCCAGACTTGGAATAAATTGTGAACTACTTTTCCAAGGAGCCCTGTCTCTTTTACCGAATAGTGGTAGTTAGGAACTATTTTCCTAGTGCTAGGTACGCTCTTTATTACCGGAGTGTCATCAGTTGTAGGCCCACTCCACCGACAGAATGTGGAAATAAATGTTATCTGTACTAGCTCATGTTTATATATATTTGTGTATTTATTTATTTATTAATCTGTGTTTATATATAATGTATATATATGCACATCACATATATGAATAATGTCAAACATACACACACCCCAAAATAAAGCAAAATGTGAGTTCATACTGATATATCTGATCAGTCCACAGGGGTTAATACCACAGGGTTCATTCCATTATTACCCTTTTGCTCCTTTGAAACTTCTTTTTCCAACTAAATAAAAAATTGGTTTGTATTATCTACAATACATTTACATATTTGCTGAAACCTCGTATATGTGTAGTTTCAGAATTGCTAATACATATCCCTGTGTGAAACAAACTTGTTTACTAGAGTAGTAAACAATTGCTTCCCAATTCGTGAATTGGTGTTTGCTCAAATTAACTCTATGATTTTATTGTTGTGTCAGTTTTTCTTTTAACAATAGAAAGTGCTGACCTGAGAAATATAATCCCAGTGAGAGAGGGGAGTGGACCTTTTTTACAGGAGAAAATACACAGGAAGAGGCAGGTAAGAATTGAGACAGAGAAAAGTAAAAACAGAATTAACTGATTATAATTCACATTCCAGATTCACTTGATTTCTTGTTTCCTGTCCTCCTATTCTAGGGGATATCTGAACACTGAAGAACTAACAATGTTAACACTCTGCTCCCCTTTTCTTAAGTAGCTCAATGAATTTCCATTATTTGTAACCAAAAGAACCTCAACTAGAACAAGGAACATGGAATTCAAAGAACCTAGTCTGTTAAAAAGTCTGTTTCTGCACTTCCTCAAGATCCTAATAAGAAATGCAAAAATAAAAACAAACTTTGGGCCAGGCGCAGTGGCTCACACCTGTAATCCCAGCACTTTGAGAGGCTAAGGTGGGCAAATCACCTGAGGTCAGGAGTTCAAGATCAGCCTGGCCAACATGGTGAAACCTCATCTCTACTAAAAATGTGAAAATTAGCTGAGTGTAGTGGTGTACTCCTGTAACCCCAGCTCCTTGGGAGGCTGAGGCAGGAGAATCGCTTGAGCCCAGGAGGTGGAGGTTGCAGTGAGCTGAGATCACGCCACTACACTCCAGCCTGGGGGACAGAACGAGATTCTGTCTCAAAAAATAAAATAAAATAAAATAAAAACTTAGTGAAACAAATGCAAAGTATTTCACCGATATGTATTTTAACAAATATTATCAAATGATCTCAGAGAACCCTTTACTTTTAGAAATGTAAATGTATTCAACTATACACGTGTTAAACATATTTTATAATGACATATGATATTGACTCATAAATATATATTATCAAATGCCTAAGACATACAAAAGGACATATTTATAAATTTATTGTTTTAACTATGAAACAAGAACATTTAATTGAAGGAAAGAAATTTGCTTTGATCTTAATGATAATCATAATAAATTTGATTTATGTAGTGAATTATATTTCTTCCTGTCAAACTACAACACAGAATACTCCTTGTTCTTAGCAATTCTTCATTATAAGTTTTTGAAAATAATAACTGAGATTAAGAAGGGTTGAGAATAAAAATAATGCATTTTCAACAGATTAATTTTAATTATTAAATAAAAATTTAAGTCTTTATATATAGGTAAAAATTGGTTTGAAATGGCTCTTATTTTTATATCATATATAATGACATTGTAATACTAAATCAAAATATTCATTTAGATTTTTAAATGTTCATGGTAGAGCATATTAAATGTAGTGACCAACCTCACAGTAATAAAACACCTTCTTAAGGAACAAAAGATAGCTAACTAAATTTTGTATGTTTCTGTTTTTTTTTTTTTTTTTTTTTTTTGAGACGGAGTCTCTCTATGTCACCCAGGCTGGAGTGCAGTGGCACGATCTCGGCTCACTGCAACCTCCACCTCCCTGGTTCAATTCCCCTGCCTCAGCCTCGTGAGTAGCTGGGATTACAGGTGCACACCACCACATCCAGCTAATTTTTTGTATCTTTAATAGAGACAAGGTTTCACCATGTTGGCCAGATTGGTCTCGAACTCCTGACCTGAGGCAATCTGCCTGCCTCAGCCTCCCAAAATGCTGGGATTACAGGTATGAGCCACCATGCCCAGCCATTTTGTATGTTTATTAGAAAAATTTAAAGTAAAAAAAAAGTATTATAAGATGGATTATACCTACACATATATATAATTTTCATTAATAAGTGAGGTAGTAAGGTAAGTATGAAAACACCTTAAAAGGAAAACCGAGGCATAAAGATGAAAAAAAGTTTTAAGGTCACAATAAAAGTCAGTGCCCATACTAGAACCAATGATCTTCCTAATGTTCACCTAGGGCTTCATCTTCTACCCCAGTTTCCTTCCACAAAGCCCAACAACTGTTTAATTCTATTGCAATGGTAAAGGGTAAAATTGAGGGGAGGGAGTACTTCTCCAAGAGTCTCATTCTATTTGTGTGTGTTGTGTGTGTGTGTGTGTCTGTGTGTTTCATGTGCTGTTAAATGCTAATATTCTGTGTTAGCGCAGGAGATATGTGATGGAGTTTATACAAAAAAAGATAATTTGCAAGTCATACATACTATATTTTGATTAAAATGTTGCTGACATGCTTTTTTGAAAAGGCCTTTTCTAAACTCTCTACACACTTCCACTGGAACTCCAGTACAGTTTCTGCATCATGGAATACAGAAGGAACATACAGTGAGGCAAGATAGTGTGTTGAGAATTATAGTAAATAACTAAGTGAGCCCACTAGAAGGATACAATTTCTTTGGGTAAGACATGAAGATAAATAAATGGAAACTGGATATCTTTAGTACCTAACAAAGTTTCCAGCATACAGTAAGTACTCAATAAATACTTTTAAAGGATCATAAAAGTTTTTAGAAAAGGATAAAACTTTTTAGAGAAGCCAGGTAATTATTTTGTTTGATCCTTTGTGTTGGAATAAAAATAATGAATTAAAGTGGAAAAAAAGATAAAATCCATCTCAGCAAATTTATAGGAACCAATTCCTGGAACACTTTATCTATTTACTTATTCCCATCCACATAGATTAAGCTATATATATATACACACATATATATATATATACATATACATATATACACATATATACACATATATATACACATATATATACACATATATACACACATATATATACATATATACACACATATATACATATATACACATATATATACATATATACATATATATACATATATATACACATATATATACATATATACACATATATACATATATATACACATATATATACATATATATACACACATATATATACATATATATATCTTCACAGCAATGAGATAATCAAGTGCTTTATAAAATTCCTTATTAGTCAGTGAGATTAATACTCATCTTAATTTTACTTATAAACATTTACTTATAAACTGCCTTAACATTTGTGAAATATGTGATATTATGTGACTTGCAATAATGAATAAATCATTTTCATTGATTTAATAAAGACAGTATTTTCCAAGCAAATAGGACAATGGAGTAGATTGGTTATAATGTCTTCATCATCACTATCAGTCACAAATGCATGTGATATTGGTCTATTTGCATACGATGTTTTGCTGGGCACTTCTAACACCTTCTTCAGTGAATAAATCAGCAGCAAGATGACAATAGTCTTCTGGAAAGCAATCAAACTTTAAAACAATATTGAAATACATGGTTAGGCAAGAAAAATGTTTGCCTTAAAAGTTCCGGATATTATGGGAAGTCAATGTAGATATTCAAGATTAAGTTCAATATAAAATTGTGCACTATATTTTGAGAGTGATACTTAGCACCGAGCTTTTACTCTTCTAAAGTGCTTTTGCATTTACTAGAAACAAATTAGAGCAGGGAGATAACTTTTTTCAAAATATTACACTTATTTGAATCTCATTTATACAGAGCTTTGAATTTGGCAAAATAATTCAATGCAAATCTTTCCAGTAATATGTCTTTTATCAAAGCTCTGAGATTTATTTCCAATTTTTCCACAAACAAGTCCCTTCTTTACTATCTCCATTTTCTATTTTAGTATGTCAAATAGCAAAATGAAAAATAGAAAGGAAATAGCATTAATCTGTCATGGCACTAAATACTAGTCCCAATTTTGCTTCCCCCAATCTTAAGGGGCAAAATGTGGCTGGGTGGACAATAATTTTTATCTTCTCAATATACGGTATTTTTGTGTAGTTCACCATAAATCAGTCTCAAACTTAACAGGACACTTTAAAGACGCATCTCCTAATGTTCTTACTCAGTTCCATTATATTTTACAGGTTCATTATAAGCTAAAATGTTATGTAATTGAAAAACAAGTCATGTCAATTATGTTTATTGTTGACAAAATGTTTACTCTGTAAATATCAATTATTAAGAAATATGACTTGAGAAAGGTGTATAACTGATAAGTTTTATCAAGGTAATCAAATGCAATAATGTTCTCCATCAATGAGACTCTTCTCTCTGTGATTTTTAAATGTTCACAGGCCACAAAAGTTTCAAAGCTCACATTGCTTCTACAACCAGATTCCAGGATTACCAACACACACATAATACAAATGCAATGGCTCTGATTTCACACCTATTTAAATGAGGAATTTAAAAGATGGCCTTAGCCGGGTGAGGAGGCTCACGCCCGTAATCCCAGCACTTTGGGAGGCCAAGGCAGGCAGATCATCTGAGGTCAGGAGTCTAAAACCAGCCTGACTAACATGGAGAAACCCCATCTCTACTAAAAATACAAAATCAGCCGGGCGTGGTGGCACATGCCTGTAATCCCAGCTACTCAGGAGGCTGAGGCAGGAGAATTGCTTGAACCTGGGAGGCGGGAGGCAGAGGTTGCAGTAAACCGAGATCGTGCCATTGCAATCCAGCCTGGGCAACAAGAGTGAAACTCAGTCTCAAACAAACAAACAAACAACAACAAAAAAAATGGCGTTTTTTGTCATAATTAGAGTGTATATGGCACAGGCTATTCAGCCCTAACGAGCTCTTTCTTCCTTGCCAGAAAGTCATTCCTCAGCATCTTTTTTCACTGCAATTTTGTCCAGAGAGAAAAAAGAGAGAGAATTTTCTTTCTGATACAGAGAGGTAAGAGAGAAGCGTTCACACTTTTTGCTTTGAGTGTTCATTCAGTGAAGACAGACATAATGATCGAAGTTGCTGCACCACTTTGTGACTGCTTGAGACTTCTAACCCCTGAACCATACATCTAAAGCTCTTACAATATGCAACCTAAATATACGGGCTAATAATCTAATGAACTTTCAAATAAAACACCAGTATAATCAAGGTGAATGCTAAATTTTGTCTTTTTTCTCCCTAGAATTAGCTATGTGTCAACTCTGTGTAGATTATTATTTCCGCAAACTGAAGTAAGAGAGAATAGTTTGAAACAAATTATAATATTAATTCTAAGAATTCATTTCACTTAGTATTATATAGGCATTTGCTTAAAGTCATGCTTCTCAGAATCTACATAATAATTTACTTACTTTATAAATATAATGGGTGTGGTTTTCTTTTTGTGCCATGACATAACAACTTTTTCTCAAAAAGAATGTGTTGGAATTAATTACTTCTGACAATAACAGTATAGCATCTCACGATATAGTGATAGGCTGAGGCGGGTCGATCACCTGAGGTCAGGAGCTCAAGACCAGCCTGGCCAACATGGAGAAACCCCATCTCTACTAAAAAAAAAAAAAATACAAAAATTAGCCAGGCATGATGGCAGACGCCTGTTGTCCCAGCTACTCAGGAGGCTGAGGCAGGAGAATCACTTGAACCTGGTAGGCGGCGGTTGCAGTGAGCCAAGATCGCACCATTGCATTCCAGCCTGGGCAACTGAGCAAGACATTGTCTCAAGGAAAAAAATAAATAAATAAAGGATTAGCTCAAAGGAAACTCTAATATTAATTTTATTAATTTTTTACCACTTATTAATTTCATATCACTTTCTCAAATATTCCTTTGCTTTCCACATATTTCTGACTTTCTAATAAATAATTAGTTAACTTTCAGGAATAGAAAAATTATTTATTCTTTGCCACACAACTCATGCTTTTTGAAAACCCAAAATGTAAAACAATCTTTAAGAATATAAAAATATTCTAAGTTGTAATTTAATTAGACAATAGAGTTAATAGAGTGCTTAACTGCCAAAATCTTTAAGTTAAAATAGTGAATAATATAATTACTCATGTTTATAATAAACAGTTTCCAGATGTTTTTCTTTTTTTTTTTTTTATTTTTGTTTTTGTTTTTCTGGCGAGGTCTCACTCTGTCTCCCAGGTTGGAGTACAATGACACGATCTCAGCTCACTGCAACCTCCACCTCCCAGGCTCATACAATCCTCCTGCATCAGCCTCAAGATGAGCTGGGACTACAGGTGTATGCCACCACACTCAGCTAATTTTTTGTATTTTTGGTAGAAACAGGGTTTCACCATGTTGGCCAGGCTGGTCTCAAACTCCTGAGCTCAGGCCATCATCCCTCCTCGGCCTCCCAAAGTGGCTGGGATTACAGGTGTGAGCCACCCCAATGTTTTTCATTACTGAAGAAACATTTGCAAAAAAAAACTTACCACCAAGCTTATTGTTATTACAATTATTACTATTATGGGAAATACTTAAGAGGGTGAACACTTAACATGTTCATTTCCTTTTTCCAGTTTTTGTCTGTTCATTTTCAAATCACAGGAAAGTTGCCTTTGTGACTAAGGTTAGTCTGTTTAAATATACCAAGATATATCACATGGGTTTTAAAAGGAAACTCATTTCCCCATTTTGAGAAATCAGTCTGATGTTCCCTACTAAGACGTTTGGACAGATGATTATAGCTGTTCAGCCAATGAACAAGCTGCATCACTGCCAAGACTTCCTCCCTCCAGTCACGGATTAGTGATCTTTGGGCAGCTGCCTATGCAAGAACGAAAAGATGCATGTGTGTCTGTCTCAAATCCTCTATAGTAATTCTAATTGACTGCAGTGATATCTACTGGTGACAGTGGAGAAGGTTGACAGCTTCAGGCCTTGTTGTTGCAGCCAAAAAGCTACTCTCATGAAGATCTTAGATGAGTATATTAAGTACTTCCACTAGCTCAGCTGGTGAAGTTACTTTAGCTCACTTGGCATGAGCACTGGCCTGAGAATAGTAAATCAGCTCTTAAAAGTATCTTCTTGTCATCTGAATTGTAAATGTTCAGTGAGCTAATCCACATCTTCTTTTATAAATAGAACTGACCCTCTAGCACTGTAGTACCATCAGGCAACTTTTTTCCCTCATTTTGTTAACTTTTCCTTTGCTTAACCCTATTTGCCCTTCTATACACAGTAAGTGGCAATCTTAGAATAGCTCAAGATAAAATATCATAAAAGAGGATCACAGGTGAACAATACAGTACATCAGTGTGCTGGACTTTTATGTAGTAAAAGGCTGTCAGGAGTTAAACTTCTTTAAATTGTTTGTTGCAGAGGAGTAGAAGAGTATCCACTTCAGAAAACTCAGAGCAAAGGAAACATTCAGTTAGACAACCCAACAAAGTGCTACTGCTTTTAAGTAACATACATGATCAGAGTTTTCCCAAATTATCTGAAATAGTTCATGAACCTCTATTTTAGATGGTTTAAGGAAACAATAGAAGTTCATCATTTTTAATATACCATAATTCGACATTGAGAATAAACTGTTTCACTAGATTGTAATGATTTAGTCCTGCTTTAGGCCGGACATAACAGTATGTTTACACATTTTCTTTATCTAATGATACATAAAATACTCTTTTAAACACAATCATAAACATCAACAAAGACATCTGAAGACTCTGAAGTCTTGCTTTTAACATAGACAAATAATTGCCCGAGGCACAAAACTTCAAGTTTTCCAGCAAATAAAGCATGCAATTAACAAAGGAGCTAATTGAATTTTTTCTTACTTGATATACTTGACAGAATGGGCTGTGCTTTATTGACTTTTACATACCCAGTTCCTTGAACATAGGACAGCATAAATAGTAGATGGTTAATAATTCATTGCTAAATACAGAAATGAAGAATAAATGACACTTAATTGCAGCAACACAGTCTTACCATTTCTGAACTTCATTGGAAAGTAAAATTGGCAAAATCAAATTTGGATGGTGCAGTGACAGTTTATCTGTCCTTACAAGGATGCCCTTATAAGTGAATTTAATTGCTTGTTTTATCTAATTAGAAAACCTCTAAATATCCCAAAGATTATTAAGTTTCCCTCATTCATCACATTTTAATATTATCCAAGTGTTATAAATTACATGGCATAGGCATTTTACTAACATAGTTCTGTTTAGGATAAGTAATATTTTCTCATTAAAACCTTTTTGTGATTTTTCCCCAAAACTATAAATCCTATTATTCATATATAGATCTTGTTATCTGGCTTAATTTAAAATTAATATGCTCATGATATTTTCTCTCTATAGGAAAAGCAGAGCAAGTCACTTTCTACACTGATGCAGGTTTATAAATGGATAAATCTAATCCCTTAAAGCATACAATTACATATAGTAACACCCAAAGAAAGCAAGCTGGCCTTTAAGCTAGGTTTTAGTTCTGTGTTTCCAAACCCAGTTTCACAAAGGTTTTCATTATTGCTTATTTTAAATATCATTTGCCAAGCTCAACTGCCCTCAGGAACACCTTGCCCTGTAGATGCACAAATGATATGATTAGGATACTAATAAGAAACAGTGGTTAGAAAGCAAAAAGAGCCACTTGGGCTAGCTCTGAAAGCACCAATCCCTTCAAATAACCAAGATACCATTTATATGTTCTAAGATATTTGTGATGGAAAAGTAAACAAACAAGAAATTTCTATAGATTATAACAAGACATGTTTTAAAACTATTTGGTTTGAGATTCAGATCTGCTGGATTGCTTCATTACTCAAATTTCACTCTCCAAAATTATTTCTTATTATATTGGCTTACAATGACCCTAAAAGAGAAATTAAAATGCAGAAAAGCATTCAGGGAAATTTATGGTTTGCATATCTTTTCCAAAACTCAGGTTGAAATCAACTGCTACTGTAACAGTATTAAGAGGCAGGGCCTTTAAGAGGTGATTAGTTCATGAGAGCTCCACCCTATTGAACGGATTAATGCCATTAACACAAGAGTGGGCTAGTTACTGTGGGAGTGGGCTCCTGATAAAAGGATAACTTTGGCCCTCATTTCCTCTCTGTGTCTAGTGTGTTCACATGGCCGTCTGCCATGTTAGAACATAGCAGGAAAAGCCCTCACTAGGTGATAACACCATAAGCTTAGATTTCCCAGCCTCAAGAATTGTGAGACAAATAAACTCTTTTTCTTTATAAATTACCCAGCCTGTGGCATTCTGCTATAGCAGCGATATAAAAACTGAATCAAATGCAATGGAATGATATGTATGAAAAAGTCATGTGCTTATTAAAATCAAGGCTACAGTTTAGATCTCATCTATCCTGTTATTTGAGTAAACATTATAATTAACAACAAAAGATCACGATTAAAAGGCCACCTGAGAATTTTATTAACTCTACAGTCCCCACCAATTTAATTTTCATTTTTTAATATCAGCAATATATAGTTTATCTAAACATGTGCATATTTTTTTGTTAATGGAAGCAGATTATGTGCTTGTTTATAGTTTGAATGTTCTCATCAGAAAGATCCAGCTTAAATCTAGGGCACTATCATTTCACTTTGTTCAACTGCTAAATATTTGGGATCAATTACTCACCTATAAATAGAGGGAACAGTGCTTAATAGAGGGAATACTCATCAATAGCGGGAATAGTGCTCAGAAGCAATTGCTCAGTAAAAGACATTTTACTGAGCATTTGTATAATATTTTATATTGATAATAAATAACATTAAAATTAATAACAGTAATCATAGTAAAATTATGATTATTTTGTGTAAAGACCTGTAATTTGGATTTGAAAAAGAAAATCACTACTAATGCTAAGGTGTACTGCATTAATCATTTAGGAAGCTATGGCTGACAATATTACAAAAAAAATCATGGTGTTAAATTTGTATATACTAACAAATTCATCTTACCACCAATCCACAATAACATACAGAACTTTAGAACACAAATCATTTGCTATATTTTGTCAGTATACAAACAAAGAGGTATATCGCACCATTCTATGGGAACAGTCTTTCACCAAGTGTCACTATTTACTTTTTTGTTTCTTTGCCGGAGGTGGGGAAGGATGGATTTCATGGTAAATTGATTTTTGAAAGCCAAAATTAGCACTATGTTTCCACTTAAAATTTCACCATGCATATTACTAAATGACAGAGTTGAGGAAGGCTTGCAATTGAAAAAGTTGTTTTCTCATGTTCCTTGAGTGGTATATCTACAGAAAATCTGTTTTATAGACATGAAAGAAGCAGAAACAAAAGATTAAGAATAGTAGAAGCAAACGCTTTCTTAGAATTAACTTACATGTAATGAAGCTAAATTTATTTCAGAAAAAAATAAGCTTATTGGATGGAGTCTCAATTTTCATGTGTACATTACAATGAACATTGGCCCACATGGATAAATAATCAGAGTAATCACATCAATGATTACATTGAATAATGATTTTTTTATTTTTTATTTTTTTTTAATTGAGATGGAGTCTCACTCTGTCACCCAGGCTGGAGTGCAGTGGCATGATCTCGGTTCACTGCAGCCTCCATCTCCTGGGTTCCAGCAATTCTCCTGCCTCAGCCTCCCAGGTAGCTGGGATTACAGACATATGCCATCACGCCCAGCTAATTTTTGTATTTTTAGTAGAGACGGGGTTTCACCATGTTAGCCAGGCTGGTCTTGAACTCCTGACCTCAGGTGATCCGCCCACCTCGGCCTCCCAAAGTGCTAGGATTACAGTCCTGAGCCACCATGCCCAGCTGAATGAATATTTTAAGAACATAATGATAAAGGATATTCAAATAGGAAGGGAGGAAGTCAAATTATCTCTGTTTGCAGATGGCATGATTGTATATTTAGAAAACCCCATTGTCTCAGCCCAAAAACTCCTTAAGCTGATAAGCAACTTCAGCAAAGTCCCAGGATACAAAATTAATGTGCAAAAATCACAAGCATTCCTATACACAAATAATAGACAAACAGAGAGCCAAATCATGAGCCAATCCCATTCACAATTGCTACAAAGAGAATAAAATACCTAGGAATACAACTTACAAGGGACGTGAAGGACCTCTTCAAGGAGAACTACAAACCACTGCTCAAGGAAATAAGAGAGGACACAAACAAATGGAAGAACATTCCATGCTCATAGAAGGAAGAATCAATATCGTGAAAATGGCTATACTGCCCAAAATAATTTATAGATTCAATGGTAGTCCCATTGAGCTACCATTGACTTTCTTCACAGAATTAGAAAAAAAACTACTGAAGGCAATGTCATGCTACCTGACTTCAAACTATACTACAAGGCTGCAGTTACCAAAACAGCATGGTACTGGTACCAACACAGATATATAGACCAATGGAAGAGAACAGAGGCCTCAGAAATAACACCACACATCTACAGCCATCTGATCTTTGACAAACCTGACAAAAACAAGCAGTGGGGAAAGGATTCCATATTTAATAAATGGTGTTGGGAAAATTGGCTAGACATATGCAGAAAACTGAAACTGGACCCCTTCCTTACAACTTATAAAAAAATTAACTCAAGATGGATTAAAGATTTAAACATAAGACCTAAAACCTTAAAAACCCTAGATGAAAACCTAGGCAATACAATTCAGGACATGGGCATTGACAAAGACTTCATGAATAAAACACCAAAAGATGGCAACAAAAGCCAAAATTGACATATGGGATCTAATTAAACCAAAGAGCTTCTGCACAGCAAAAGAAACTATCATCAGAGTGAACAGGCAACCTACAGAATGGGAGAAAATTTTTGCAATCTATCCATCTGACAAAGGGCTAATATCTAGAATCTAAAAGGAACTTAAACAAATTCATAACAGAAAAACAACCCTATCAAAAAGTGGGCAAGAGATATGAACAGACACTTCTCAAAAGAAGACATTTATGAGGCGAACAAACATATGAAAAAAAGCACATTATCACTGGTCATTACAGAAATGCAAATCAAAACCACAATGAGATACCATCTCACACCAGTTAGAATGGCGATCATTAAAAAGTCAGGAAACAATAGATGCTGGAGAGGATGTGGAGAAATAGGAACGCTTTTACACTGTTGGTGGGAGTGTAAGTTAGTTCAACCATTGTAGAATACAGTGTGGCAATTCCTCAAGGATCTAGAACCAGAAATACCGTTTGACCCAGCAATCCCATTACTGGGTATATACCCAAAGGATTATAAATCATTCTACTATAAAGATACATGCACACGTATGTTTACTGCAGCACTATTCACAATAGCAAAGACTTGGAACCAAATCAAATGTCCATGAATGTTAGAGTGGATAAAGAAAATATGGCACATATACACCATGGAATACTATGCAGCCATGAAAAAGAATTAGTTCATGTCCTTTGCAGAGACAGGGATGAAGCTGGAAACCATCATTCTCAGCAAACTAACACAGGAACAAGAAACCAAACACTGCATGTTCTCACTCCTAAGTGAGAGTTCTACAATGAAAACATATGGGCGCAGGGAGGGAAACATCACACACCAGGGCCTGTCAGGGTTGGGGGGCAAGGGGAGGGATAGCATTAGGAGAAATACTTAATGTAGATGACGGGTTGATGGGTGCAGCAAACCACCATGGCACATGTATACCTACGTAACAAACCTGCACGTTCTGCACATGTATCCCAGAATGTAAAGTATAATTTAAAAAAAAAAACATAATGAAGCATGTCTTCAAATCATGAAGAACCAAAGATAGTGAAAAAAAAAGGGGGGGTAGTCTTCAAATACATCAGCCTGTATGTCATACATCCAATTTTAAAAGGCCTTATAAATTGGCAGCTGCTGCCAAAGTACTGTATATAGTAGTCCTTATGTTTTTCACATGGTATACAGTTTCATTTGTAACATAAGAGAAATATCATATATTGAGACTATGATTATATTTGAACATGAAACACACTTAATTAGAAAGAGAAGAAATCTATCAGGGAAGAATCACAACTTGAGATTGCAGCAAAGAGTGATAAGATGACTAAGAAAAGAAAGCAGGTAGGTTTTCCAGAACTCAGTAGTGCTGAAACTCAAGGAATCCAGCAAAATAGTTTATTACTCACCACAGAGCAAACAGCAGGAGTTTCAGCATGGTAATGCAGGATTTCCTATGGTAGAGCCCCATGGGGAGACAAGATGGGCCCTGACGGAGAGTGTAGTGTGGTGGGTGGTACCATTACAGAGAAGTCCAGTTCAAGAGCTCAACACTTCTTGTAGCAAGCAAAGAATAAGCCATCCCCATCCCCTGGGGAGCAAGGAGTTGCATAGTAGTCACATGGTTTTCTTGACCTACTTAAGTGTTGATGTGACTAGCACTGCTTATTACCAGGATATATTGGACCTTGCTATTTGAAATATTCAGCAAGGAATATTCACTCAGGAACCACGGGAGACTACTTTCCACAAAAAAACAACAAAACAACAACCACAACAATCACCAATATCTGAAAGAAAATAATATAAAGAAATTAGATTTTGTAACATACCTACAACATTTTTTAAAATGCTCCTTATGATAGTTGCTACTCATATAAGATTAACTGAGAGCCAACAATTTTAACTCCTTTTACACCCATCAAAGTAGCATGCTCTTACTAATTTAATTTTTCTCTCTTTGGATTTTAGGGAGATGATCTACATGTTTAAGCATAACTTAATTTGCATAATAAATTACAAAATATAAACATTCTCTAAAATCCCTTAATTAACATTTTTATAACTTGATGCATCACTATAAAAATAGTGTAAAAGGAATTTATATCTGGGCCTCAATTCAGGTAACTTTAGCTGAAAGTTTGGTTG
This sequence comes from Homo sapiens, assembly GCF_000001405.40. Taxonomy (NCBI): domain Eukaryota; kingdom Metazoa; phylum Chordata; class Mammalia; order Primates; family Hominidae; genus Homo; species Homo sapiens. The sequence continues at coordinate 133,021,763 of NC_000004.12, forward strand.
TGGTCCAATTATTTCCCACACATTATGGCAAATCAAGCTATGGTAAGTTGAAGTTTTGTTATCTGGCAAAGTGCTATATATTTTGTATTATGGCAAGTATGAAACATAAAAATACTGGTAGTTATATAAAAAAAATCAAATAAAACGATCTTTGCAATCATTTAAACATAGAAAAACAAAATTTGAGAGCTATATTATGAAGTGTTCCTTTAGTATTTATGGTCTGGTAAAGGAGACACACATTTTCATGCATTTATGTTAAAGTGCAAATGCCAAAACCAATATGTATACAGTGCTAAGAGACCACAGAGAAGATGACTTAAAATATAGTCTGTGATTGTGATGAAGGTAGCAATGAATCATGCCCAGATATAGTGTTGTATTAGCACCTTATCAGAGGAAACATTAACTGAATAAACAAGGGAAAGAAAGTTCAAAATGAAGGTACAATCTTAAAAACAGCAATGTAGCATAGAATAGTGGTAAAGTTGGAAACTTTGGTTGGAGCACCAAGCAAAGTCCATATCATAAAAGGCCTAGAAGATCATCTGGATCTGGCTTTAAAATTTCATCCATAAAGTCATGAAGAATCACAAAAAGAAGATGGCCAACTAAATGCAGCCAAGAAGTGCCACTCCCATGGAAATAGACTAGAATTTCAACTAAACCAACATAATTTAAACAGATCTATGGCGAAGAAATGTGGATGGATAAAAAGACATAGATGCTAAAGCCGAAGAAGAAGGAAGCTGGGAACCCTGTGTGGGGTGCCTGAACGCTAAGACTGTTTTCTGCTCCTGAACAGCTCCTGGGGTTGCAGTGAGTGAAGGGACTGGGAAACTTTCCACTCTTGCCATGGACCTTTGGGATCCTAGCTGTACTATTAATACAAACTCAAGGGTCCAGAAGAGGGAGCCAGGAGCAGGTTCTGGTGCTCCAGGGCTGTGACCCACAGCTCAGGAGAGCTGAGCTGGACTCTGAGCCCAATATCCAGGTATAGGAGGGACCCATACTCTCAGAATACTGAGAGTGATGAGTTGCACAGATTCTCAGGCTGGTGTGGGACCTAGGCATGCCTCCCTCAACAGGGCTGATCCAGTAAGAGTGTGGCTTATTTCCCTACCAGACCTCTGCCTGAGGGACGCTCATGGCCTCAAACACCTAACAAAAAATAATAATAGAGTACCGGAGTTCAGAGTTGCCTCCCACAAGGCTCAGGAGTGGACCTGGTCGGGGTGGGGTACAGGTGAGTGTCACCTCTCTACCCCTCTCACCACAAAGCACAGCTGCAAATGCAAAGTTACACAAAGGAGCAACTATCTACCATTCCATTGCTTTCAAGCACCATCAATTGAATTGCAGCCCAAACTACAATACCAAAACCACTTTGCTAATTCTCTCCCATTTGAAACCCGGGGCAAGAATCCAACAACAAAGACACTGTACGGAGTCTGTCTTCTTAAGACTTCCAGAAATGAAGCCAACTGAGTATATTCAATTTATACCACATTTAAAGGAACACCAACCCTACCAGGTAAAAGAGAATCAAAACAAGAATCCAGAAAATTTAAAAAGCCAGAGGGTCTCCTTATCTCTAAATGAGCTCCCCAGCTCCCCAGCAATTATTAGTCAATCTGAAATGTACGACTTGGCAGGCATGGAATTCAGATTCTGGATATCAAGGAAGCTCATTGAGAGCAAGGAGGAAGTTGAAACTCAATCCAAGGAAGCCAAGCAATTCAATAAAAGAATTCAAGAGCTAAAAGATAAAATAGTTCTTTTAAGAAAAACCCAAACTGAACTTACTGAGCTAAAAATTCACTGCAAGAATTTCATAATACAATCACAAGTATTTACAGCAGAATAGGCCAAGCTGAGGAAAGAATCTCAGAACTTGAAGACCAGTACTACAAATCAACTCAGTCAGACAAAACTAATAATAATTTAAAAAAGAATTAAGTAAAATGAACAAAACCTCTGAAAAATATGGAATTGTATAAAGAGATAAAAATCTACAACTCATTGGCATCCCAAAGAGAGAAGGAGAGAGAATAAACAACTTGGAAAATATACTTGAGGATAAAGTCCTTGAAAATTTACTTACTCTCACTAGAGACAGAAATCTTACAAGCCAGAAAAGATTGGGGACCTACTTTCAATGTCCTTAAAGAGAAGAAATTCCAACCAAGAATTTCATATCTTCCCAAACTAAGCTTCATAAGTGAAGAGGAGATAAAATCATTATCAGACAAGCAAATGCTGAGGGAATATGTTTCAATTATACCAGCTTTATAATAGGTCCTTAAAGGAGTAACAAACACAGATACCAAAAAAACGACACCTGTTACCACAAAAACACACTTAAGCATATAGCCCACAGGCCGTGAAACCCGCACAGTCAAATTTACGTAACAATCAGCTAACAACAAAATGGCACGATCAAAATCACACAGATCAATACTAATCTTGAATGGAAATGGGATAAACACCCCAATTAAAAGACACAGAATGTCAGGCTGGAGAAAAGACAAGACCCAACCATCTATTGTCTTCAAGACAATCATCTCAAATATAATGACACTCACAGGCTCAAAGTAAAAGGGTGGAGAAAGATTTTCCATGTAAATGGAAGACAAAAAAAGGCAGGAGTCAATATTCTTATATCAGATAAAACAAACTTAAAGCCAATAAAAATAAAGATGGAAAAATGAACAATATTACAAAATAACAGGGGCAATCCAACAAGAAGCTTTTAATACACTAATTACATATGCACCCAACATTAGAGCACTCAGACCTATAAAACAAATTTTTCTTGGCCTACAAAAAGACTTAGACAACCACACAATAATGGTGGTATACTTCAACACCCCACTGATAGAGTCAGATAGCTCATCAAGGCAGAAAACTCACAAAGAAATTATGGACTTAAACTTGACACTTGACCAACTGGACCTGATAGATATCTACAGAACACTCCACCCAACAACTACCAGATATATATTTATCTGTACACGAAACATACACTAAAATCAACTACACAGTCATAAAACAAATCTCAGTAAGTTCAACCAATTGAAATCATGCCAAACATATTCTTGAACAACAGTGCAATAAAAACAGTAATCAATATCAATAAGATCTCTCAAAACTATACAAACACATGGAAATTAACAACTTGCTCCTAAATAACTCCTAAATGAACATCTAAATTAAGGCAGAAATTTAAAAATTATTTGTAATTAATGAAAATGGTCATATAATTTACCAAAATGTCTGGGATGCATCCACAGTAGTGTTAAGAGTAATGTTTATAGACCTAAATGCCTTCATCGAGAAGTTAGAAAGATCTCAAGCTAACAACCTAACTTAGCACCTAAAGAACCTAAAAAAAAGAGAACAAATCAACCTCAAAACTAACAAAAGAAATACTAAAATTAAATAATGTAATCGAGATGCTAAAATCCATATAAAAATCAATGAAACCAAGAGTTTGTTTTTCAGAAAAATAAGATTAATAAGCCACTAGCTAGATTAACAAACAAAAAGAAGATCCAAGTATGCACAATCAGAAATGACAAAGGTGATATTACAACTGATCCCACAGAAATACAAAAGATCCTTAGAGACTACTATGAACAACTCTATGCATACAAATTAGAAAATCTAGGGAAAATGAAAAAATTCTTGGAAGTACACAATCCCCCAAGATTGATTCAGGAAGAGATTGAAACCCTGAATAGACCAATATGAACTTCTGAAATTGAATCAGAAATAAAGAACCGACCAACCAAAAAAGCCCTGGACCAAATGTATTCATAGCCTAATTCTACCAATATAAAAGGAAGAACTGATGATAATCCTACTGAAACTATTCCAGAAAAATTGAGGAAAAGAGGCTCCTCCCTAACTCATTCTATGAAGCCAAAATCAGTCTGATACCAAAATCTGGCAGAGACACAATGAAAAAAAGAAAACATCAGGCCAATTTCCCTAATGAACATACACACAAATATTCTCAACAAAATATTAGCAAACTGAATCCAGCAGCATATCAAAAAGTTAATATGCCACAATCAAGTAGGATTTATTCCTGGGATGCAGAGCTTGTTCAACATACCCAAATCAATAAATTTGATTCACCACATAAACAGAATTAAAAGCAAAAACCATATAATCATCTCAATGGACATGGAAAAACTTTTGGTAAGATCCCACATCCCTCCATGATAAAAACCCTCAATGGACTAGGCATGAAAGGAACATAACCCCAAAAATAATAAGAGCCATCTATAATAGACCCATAGCCAACATCATATTCAATGGGTAAAAGCATGAACCATTCCCCTTGAGAACTGGAACAAGACAAGAATGCCCTTTCTCACCACTGGTATTCAGCACAGTACTAGAAGTCCCAGCCAAAGCAATCAGACAAGAGAAAGAAATGAAAAGTGTCTAAGCAGGAAAAGAAAAACTCAACCTATCTCTCTTCACTGATATGATTCCAGACCTACAAAATGCTAAACAATCTGCCCAAAGGCTCTTAGACCCTATAAACAACTTTACTAAAGGTTCAAGATATAAAATCAATGTACAAAAAGTAGTAGCATTTCTATACACTAATGTGGGTCCTGGCTGAGCGTAAAATGAAGAACATGATCCCACTAGCAACAGCCACAAAGAAAATGAAATTCCTAGAAATACAGCTAATCAAGGAAGTAAAATATTTCTAAAAGGAAAACTATCAAATACTGCTGAAATAAATCAAAGACAATGCAAATAAATAGAAAAATATTACATGCTCATGGACTGGAAGAATCAATATTGTAAAAATGGCCACACCACCCAAAGCAATTTACAGATTCAATACTATTCCTATCAAACTATGAACTTTATTCTTCGCAGTATTAAAAAAAATCTATTCTAAAATTTATTTGGAACAAAAAAAAATCCTGACTAGCCAAAGCAATCCTAAGCAAAAAGAACAAAGCCAGTGATATCACATTACCCAGCTTCAAACTATACTATAAAGCTACAGCAAACAAAACAGCATGATATGTTACAAAACAGACACACAGACCAATGGAACAGAATATAAACCTCAGAAATAGGGTCACACACCTAAAACTATCTGATCTCTGACAGGGCTGACAAAACCAAGAAAAGAGGAAAAGACTCCCTGTTGAATAAACGGTGCTAGAGTAGCTGGCTAGTTATATGTAGAAGATTGAAGCTGGACCTCTACCTTTCACCATGTACGAAAAATAACTCAAAATGGATTAGACATTCAAATGAAGAGTTCAAACTATAAAAATCCTAGAAGTAACCTAGGAAATACTCTTCTTGGCATCAGCGTTGGCAAAGAATTTTTGGCTAAGTCCCCAAAAGCAATTGAAAGATAAACAAAAATAGGTAAGTGGGACCTAATTAAACTAAAGCACTTATATACAACAAAATAAACTATCAACAAAGTAAACAGCCAACCTACAGAATGGGAGAAGATATTCACAAACTAAGCATCTGACAAACGCTTAATAACCAGAATCTATAGGGAACTTAAACAAATCAACAAGCAAAATAATTAAAAAAAAACAATAAAAAATAGGCAAAAGTCATTAACAGGCACTTCTCAGAAGACACACAGCCAAGAAACATATTTAAAAATGCTCATCATCCCTAATCATCAGAGAAATGAAAATCACAATGAGATACTATCTCATACTAGTCAGAATGGCTATTATTAAAAAGTTAAAAAGAAAAAAAAAACAGATGTTAGAGAGGCTTCAGAGTAAAGAGAATGCTTATACATTGTTGCTTGGAATATAAATTAGCCTTGCCGCTGTGAAAAGCAGTCTGGAGATTTCTGAAAGAACTTAAAACAGAACTACCATTCAATCCAGCAATCTCATTTTTGCATATATACCCAACCGAAAATAAATCATTCTACCAAAAAGATGCATGTACTTCTATGTTTATCACTGCATCACTGTGCTGTTCACAATAGCAAAGACATGGAATCAACGCAAGTGTCCACTGATAGTAGACTGGATAAAGAAATGGTAATCCATGTATACCATGGAATACTACACAGCCACAACAAAGAACAAAATCATGTATTTTGCAGCAACATGAATACAGTTGGAGGCCATCATCCTGAGTGAATTAACACAGGAACAGAAAAACAAATAATACATATTCTCACTTGTAAGTGGGAGCTAAACATTGAGCACATATGGACATAAATATGGGAACAGTAGACACTGCAGACTACTGGAGAGGGGAGGGTGGGAGGAGGGGATATGTGGAAAACTACCTATCAGGTAGTACACTCACTACTTGGATTACAGGATCTGTACCCCAAACCTCAGCATCACATAATATTCCCATGTAATAAACCTGCACATGTGTCCTGTGTAACTAAAATACATGTTGGAATTTTTTAAAAACCACACAAAATATTCAGAGGAGCAACATCTCATAACGCATTATTTTGAAATAACCCTTTTTTATTTGGTGTGAAAAGAAACTTAAGGGACATTTTAAATAAGTCAATTTAGGAAGGCAATAGAAGTAATTACTCATATGATAAACGATATGATGGCTAGAACTTAGATTGTAGCAACAGATGAACATATAGTGAAACAAATTTAAAAGATAGTGAAGAGGTAGCATCATAACATTTTTGGTGGTCAATTAATTGTGCTTAGTGAGGAATAAACAGAAGTTACAAATGATTGCCATCTTCAATACACGGTGATCAAAGGTATTATCAACAAGATGGGCAATTTAGAAAAAAATGATCTGCTTGAAGATATTGTGGTAGATTGAATTAATACTCCCAGCTGTTCACTCTTTATCTCTGTAATGGAATTTGCAGTCTTATGCATTGTTATGTCATTATCCTAGAGGAGCAATATAAGACCAATTTTATTGACTTTGGGCATAGCCAAATGACAAGTTTTGGCCTAGGAAATGTGAGCAGACATCATGTGTATTATAACTTCATCCAGGAGAAAGTTTTAAATGTGACCCTACAATATGGCTTGGGCTGTTGCATTTGTACACTTTTCCATGAGAATACCATGTCCAAGATATCATTTGTTTTTCAGCCTGTATCCAAGAATTACAAGACATGTGGAGACCAGACAAGCTTAGCAGGGATACAATCGATGTACAGCCCTCATGCAATGTAAGCAAGAAACGATGGTAGTTTCAATCAAATGTCAAAATGAAATAATTTGTTATCACAACACAACCTAACATAAGAAAATAGTATTTGGTTCAATTTCATAGTCTGAGTTATTTACTGTGAAATCCATGAAGACACATCTGATAGTAAATTGTGACAGTACGGAGGTACAGAAACAACAAAGTAAGAAGGAGAAGATGAAGATAGATTAAAAAGAGAAAAATATACCTTCCAAACTCTCTTGGCATTAGTAAAAATTATTAAATTACCTCCTTTTTCTTGGCGTCAAGAAATCATGTCTAGCCCTTATATCCAAAGATGAGAGTTGCATAGCACAGCTCATAGTTTAGGTTCCCAAAATAAGAAACCCTTATGGCTCAAAAAAAGCAAGAGCAAAGATGTACGTAAGCCTGTGTTCAGTGAATTAGCATTGTACAATGATGACTTTTGGAAATCCCGTTTTATATTATTATACCTGCGTCTAGAATTATTAGCACCTTTAGACTATTTTTTAACTTTGAAGAGTTATCTAATAGTGCCATCAGAAAAATAGTTGAATCGGTTTTGTTAATGACATAAAGTATTAAGATGTTCAATTTCCTTTCTTTTTTCTTTTTTTTCTTTCTGAGACCAGGTCTTGCTCTGTCATCCAGGCTCGTATGCAGAGGTGTGATCCGTGGCTCACTGCAGCCTCAACCTCCTGGGCTCAAGCACTCCTCCAGCCTTAGCCTCCTGAGTAGCTAGAACTTCGGACACGCACCACCATGTCCAACAATTTTTAAATTTTTTGTAGAAACGGTCTCACTATGTTGCCCAGGCTGGTCTAAACTCCTGGCCTCATGCAATCCTTTCACCTTGGCCTCCCAAAGTGGTGGGATTACAGGCATGAGCTACCATGCCTGGGCATAATGTTTAATTTCTAAGATATTTTGACTTTGCTTTTATTTCAATTCATTGCAGTTTTAAGCATTAGGTGGATATTTTCTTGTGTTAGTTCACACAATTAAACTGTTCTAATGTCTCATTATTAAGCAGGTTAAGCTCTTATTTTATCAGTAATGTGGATTAGTTTTATATTTTTCCAACTCTTTGACCCTCTAGGATTAATGCAGCTATAAGAAAATGAACCATTTATAAAATGATAATCTTTCCAAGTTATAGTTCATATGTGTTCCTAGGTTATTTGTAAAAATTATTTCTTCCTATTGTAAATATTCTTATTAATAGGAAATTTCTAGGTTTTACATGTCCCATCTTTGTTATAAAGTCACAAGTATGTCTTAACATGTGGTATCTATAGCCAAGAAATCAAAATATAAAAAGAACTCAAGGGTTTGTTATTCGTTAACACTTACAAGAAAGAACAATGTCTTGATTTCTGTATCTCTAGCATCTACACAGTACATAGCGCATAATAAGCACTAAATAAAAGATGAAAGAATGCCTTTCTTAACCAAGGCAGTTTAATAATATGTACAAAGATGTATATACAGTACATAGGAAGTGCTTGAGAATACATGGACAAAATCAGATTTAGCCAGTGCTATTAAGGAGTTTATTGTTAAGAACAAGTTAATTAGTGCACAATTGCAACATGTAGACAACTATTGGGTGTGCCACTAGACACCCACCAGCAACATGTGCAAGCCTACATTTAAGCTGCACAGCCTAAGCATTATGTGCAGAAAACCAGGTTATCCTAGAGAAATGAGGAAAGAAACTTTTTATGCAACATGAGCTTGAGTCAGCTTTCAGAAATCCAAACTAAAAAGAAAATCGTAGAGACAAGATTTCAACTATTCAACATGGCTCTGATTTTGACATTTAATCTGTATTTTTGTAGTGAGGCAAAAAATAATCATGTAAGAGTTTCTCAAAATTCAGAATGGGGGGCAGGATCAAACAAAAGAATAAGATTTTTTTTTGTACTGCAGTGGTCTTTGTATATAAAATGTCAAATATTTTATCCTCTCAGTACAAGGAATGTTTCAGTAGATGCCAGTGTTAATGTCAAAGGAATAAATCCTTTGGAGAAATCTTAAGTCTACATCTTACACCTCAGTTACATCTTACAGGGGAATCACCTCTGTAATATATTTTCTCTTACAATTCTAACACTGTTAAAAATATAAATATGTAGGGCAGATGTTTTTATGTGTTTATAAAATAGGCCAATTTAAAAAAATAAATTTTAATCTTTAATTAAATTTATAAATGAGTTTTAGGCTTAGTTTGTCACAGCCAATGTATGGAAATGTAAATTACAACATCTAAATATGTATAGCCTTCATAAATGTAAATGTAGCCCTATTTTATCAATAAATACTCCAAACTTTGTATTTCTTCACTTTGACGGTGATATGCAACACATTTTTGCAAAAATAATAATATAGCAGAGAAGTAAAACACCTGGTTTAAATGAAGAATATTGTTGTATATCCTGAAACACCAAAAACTAACCATGACTTCTTTAGATAAAAGAAGAAAGCTAAATTAATTTAGTATTTACTCTGCATTATGTCATAATATGTTATTCCATTTAATATTCATAGTAGTTATTTCATTTTTTAAAGCCCCATAGTTAACATCTTACACAGCTGTTCTTTTAAAAGAACACCGTTATTTTCAACTTTCAGAAAATATAACTGAGGCTCAGAATGCTCAAGAAAATTGTGCAAGATCACAGAGGTAGCAAGCAAAAGAGCTTTGATATAAAACTACTCTGTCATTATTTTATTCATGCAGTAAACATTTATTCATCATCTAAAGTAGGCCAGGATTCATGTTATCATATTAGGTAAATCATTTTATCTTTTTGAGTCTCAGTTTCTCCATTCATAAAATGCAGATAATTCTACTATCTTCCATACAAAGTTGAAACAATATACATGAAATTGTTTTATAAATTATAAAGCACTATTCAAATATTAGTTTAAAGTACATAATTGGTACTACGTATTTGTATGTGGTTAGAAAAATATTTGTACCTGCAATGGAGAAAATAAGCATAGAACTTAGGGTAAGCATTCAATGGTTGTAAGCCATATCCAACAATAATTCATAAAGCACCTTCCCAGGTATATGGCTGGGATAGAGGAAACAAAGAATAAAATTGTTTAGAATATGGGTTTTGAATCCAAAACATGAGTGGGTTCTAAGTTAAGAGTCAAAAGTATGTAATTTCTATGTATATAAGTCTTGGTAGACTTAAACACTGAATAATAAAAAATTTGGTGTTACCCTGAAGTGTTGCTGGTCTATGTGTTACGTTGTTGTTGTTCTTGTTGTTGTTGTGGGGGGCGGGGGGCAGAAATGGAATCTTTTTTTAAAAAAAAAAGAATTTAAAGTAGGCAAATTATTGGTAACAAGTGAGGATATTAGGATTGAAGAAACAAACATAAAGAAATAAAGAGAGAGAGAGAGAGATGAAAGCCAAAAGAAAAAGTAGGCATAAAGTGAAAAACAAAAAGAGAAGATGAAATGTAGAAAAAGCAACCAGTGGCAATTCTAGCATGATATACACAATTTTTATTTACTGTTAAGCCAATTTCTTTATATATAAATAGTGATACTGTTTGGCTAATATATAAAGTGAAATATTACAAAGCCATTATAAGATATTATTACTGTACACAATTTAATTGGACTTAATATGAGGATCAGTCTTTAAGATCTCCTAAATGAATATGCTTTTTGCTGGCCTTTTCATTAAAGTTCACATAATGTCTTAAAATTTTATATGTATCATGTCATGATTTTTTTCCAAATATATCTAAATGGGCACATTACCAAAATAAACAATGAATGCTCATACCAAGCCTCAATATACTAAATAGCATCAGTGTAATGTTTAGAGTTAAGACATCATATTAAGGAGTTATTGCTTTGCTTGAGATATATTTTTTATCATAAAGCCAAAATTGTAAAGCATTCTTCCAGAGTAAAATTAAAAAAAATTGTTTTTATGACTAGAGTAGGTAAAGATGAGGGAAGCACACATTCATAGTGAATGAATCCACACATTAATAATTTAGGTTGACTGTAAGAAGTTGGTCTTTGTTTTGCTATTTATGTAAACTTAAATTCTTAAGGTATTTATTTTATGCCATAAGCAATTAATTATATATTAATGGCTAGTTATAAAATAATGAAAGGATCATAAATTATAGTGAATTAGAGGGGACTTTAAAATTATATATTCCAGTGATATTAAAATTTTTATAACATCAAAACTCTTCAGACGATATCTGATTTGAAAATCTGATTATAAAATACATAAAATGCTGGGTAAAATTAACTTAATATCCTTTCATATATATATAATGTCTGAAGAAAATGGAGCCCAAGGAAGATAATGGGATGTGGTTTAGAAATGTTATTAAGCAATTAAGTTGCCAGATGCCATCAGGAGATAGTCAGAACCCAGGTATTAAATCATTTTTATATAAAGATCAGGGGTTTGTGAAAGGTAGTGATGGATTGGGGAATACTATACACAAAGCTAATTTTAGGATAAGATAAATACCTGGGAAGAGGTTTTAAAATGGAAATAAACTTGCTCCAAAGTAAAGCACACCACAAGGAAAATTCTAAACCTGCTTTATTACTTGATGAAGTTGAAAGAAAAAAATCTAGTCACAGATTGAAGTCTGAATTTACAGTGGTATCTCAAGACTATTCATTTAATTAAGAGGAAATGAGTTTGTGGTGTTCTCAGGAACCTGACAAGATCAAGAACAACTCCTCCTGGAAGAATATCCTTGTAATCCAGCCACAAGGATCACCTGAGATAAGACTTATAACACTGACAACTCACAATCAAAAATTACAAAACACAATAATGAATGCTGGTGAGGATGTGGTGAAAGGAGAACCCTCATACACTGTGGGGAACACACATCCCACTGTTGGCAGGAATGTAAATAGCATAGCCATTATGGATAACAATATAGAGGTTCCTCAAACATCTAAAAATAGAACTACTATATGATCCAGCAATTCCACTGCTAGGTACATATCTAAAAGAAAGAAAATCAGTATATGGAAGAAGTATCTGTGCTCCCATGTTTACTGCGGCAGTATTCACAAGAGCCAAGATTTTGAATCAATGAATGAATAGATAAAGAAAACATGGCACATATATAGGATGGAGTATTTATTAGTCAGCCATAAAAAATAATGAAATCCTGTTATTTGTAGCAACATAGATGGAACTGGAGGACGTTACGTTAAGTGAAACAAGCCAGGCAGAGAAAAACAAATTTCACTTGTTTTTAGTCATATGTAGGAGCTAAAAATTAAGGCAATTTAACTAATGGAGATAGACAGTGTAGTTACCAGAGGCTGGAAAGGGTAGCACGGAGGAGTGGATAAAGTGTGATGGTCAAAGGGTGCAAAAACATAGATAGAATGAATGAGATCTAGAATTTATTAGCAAAACAGAGTGAGTATAATCAACAATAATTTATCATATCTTCTAAAATAACTAAAGAGTGGAATTGGAATGTTCCTAACACAGAGAAATGGTAAATGCTTGAGGTGATAGATACTCCAATTACCCTGATTGGATTATTACACATTGTATGCCTGTATTCAAACATCACATATGCCCGATAAAGAGGTTTAAAGAGACTGTTAAATAAAATTTATGTGCGGCCATTGATTTGCACTAAGCTCCTTCACTAAGACTAAAAGACAAAACCAATGTGGAGTCTAACTATAGTAGCTGAGCTTTAGTTAATTAGAGGAGGCTTTGTAACCAATTACCCAATTAAGCCGTAACCAATTAAGTTTTCTCTAAGCGACACATCTATTTTCTATAAATGCTGTCAGATCATGTTATTGGTTGGAATTCTTGGAACCTGATCTGGTTTGGAGAGCTGCTCATGTGTGAATCATTTCTGTTTTATTTTTATTTGTTTTGTTTTGCTTTGCTTTGGTTTTCTTTACTCAAATAAACACAGTTGAAATTTCAACTTGTAACAGGTTTTTACAACTTTTTAACAGGACACAAAGTTGAATCTTTTAAAAAAATTAATAAATTTGGTAAATCTATAACACCAGTCAAAAACTTAACAGAGAACACAAATACACATATTATACATTAATATACAAATGTAGCTACAAATGCTACAGATATAAAAAGATGGAAAAAACTACAAAATTTTTTGTTGGAGAGATTTTAAGCAAAAGAAAACGAAAACGTTTCTGATAAAATACAACTTTCCAAAACTAATTCAAGAAAAAATAAAAACTAAATAGTACTAAACAATAAAAAACTAAATCAATCATTTTAATTCTTCACACACACACACACACATAGATGGATTTTATAAGAAAATAAATTCAAGGAATCAGTAATTTCAATCTAATGTAACATTTAAAGGTATAGCTGCTCTCTGATTGAATCTATGAATTGGAGGTTCAGAATCTTACTACTTAGACCTATTGCCCACTCCTTTATGGGTTACTCTTAGAACCATGGTCCTGTCAGCCTATAGGTTGCCAGTTGGAACCTCTGTTTTTGCACCGTACACAGCCACATGCAGTGGTCCTAACTAAAAGGAATAAAGGAGGACAGTTTGAAAAACACAAATTTGTTCCAACTTTTTTATCTTATATGAAAGGATATTGAAGACAAAAGAATTTGTGTTTTTCAGTGTTTCTAAATGTTTTCAGTACTTTTGACTACACCAAAAGTCTTTTGAATTAATATATCTCACCCTTATTTTATGATGAGTACATTTTCGCTGAAAGAAAACCATCAGAAACAACATCTTCTTCCCAATATTGAAAGGTATATGTAGTTGACAAACTAGAACTCCGGACACATTTTCAACACCCAACACAAAGAAAAGTCATCTCCCATTTTCAGAAAATAAATCGTGAAATTGTATGTTAAGACACCACTTGGAAACTTCAAACATTAAGAAAATGCATCCTTGAGGAGGGAAACACAAATCTTTACCACAAAAAAAATGCATAACATGAGTTTCTAAAGTAAGGAGATAAATATTTATGGGGTATCTTATCCTTTCAAAACATTTATAAGTAGGAACTTTTAGTTAGCTCACACAATAGAAGTCAAATGAGCTGCAGGCAGGCTTACATGACTAAGAAAAGAGAAAATAAAACACATGGAATTATGCGTGGTCATATATAAAATGAGAAAATACATACAAAACAAGAATTTTTTCCCATTTACCAATGTAATATAATACAACTTTAGCTTAGAATCAATATATTTCTAAATTATTTTTAAAATGTTTTCTTTATGCTCTTTATACTATAAATAATTCAAGAAACATAGCTCATATGCTTTTTACAACACTGCTTAAAGCTATAAGAAGAATTTTCATTTATCAGTACTTAAATATTCATTAATATTGCCTGTAGAAGTAGGTAGGGAAACAAATTATAATTATTATTCAAATTGTATTGTGTGTTGTTATTGATGGCTAATATCGAAATTGTTTTTACATAAAAGTAAAATATTAAAGCATTTAATAAGAAAAATTACCTTATCTAAAATATTTGGCATGTTTACAATGCTTAACAAATCTGTATAGAAACCAAATGAATGTTTTCTCATTTCAGATAATTAAAAGGCTATATACTCATCTTCTAAGTATAATTTGATACCCATATTTCAATTTCCAAACCACTCTTTCTAAATAGATAAGAAATAAATGTTCTGAAGTGGTTAATGTAATGACTTAGAAATCTATCATTCTATAATGTGTTTAAGTTATGATCTACTATTTAAATGACAAACAAATATATGTATAAACATACATATATACACACACACATATTGAATGTATATGTACAACTTGCTATAAAAGAGTAGTAAAATGTTCAACTTTCCTATCATCTCAAAGTTCTGTATTCTATTATACCAATAATCACTACCACAATAAAAACAGCAGCATTTAATGGCACTATTAACTCAAGAACCTAAAACACCAACTACATTAATTATATTCATTATACTTAATTGAACATAATCATCTAACCTAACAATTCCTTGTACACTAATTAATAAAACAGCATGTCTTCTGGATTAGAAATATACAAAAATAGCTGTTCTTTATGAGATAATTTTGTTAAAAATGTGTGAACCACAATTTAGTATATATAAAAGATGTTGAAATACATTTAATTTAGTAATTTTAATGTGTTTAGTGTAATATTCATGCTGATAATGACTTAAGAATATAATGATGGATTTGTTAACGTAAGCAAATGTTTTCCAATAGTCCTTGAGAATATTTACTGTTCCTATTAGCATATGATTTAGCCGAGTTTTCTACCCTCAGTAGTTATTCAAATTTTCATCTCGCCCATCAAATGCTTAACCAATCCATTTACCCTCACTCCAAGTACATGACTTTGTGTTCTACCTAATACAATATTTATTGCAACGTTGCCTCTCCAAATAATAACCTAAACTAAATATTACTCTGTTTCTATACTTCTCTGAAAGAGGTGTCCTCACCGTCCAAAGTTTCTGATCCCAGTGAAACTATTTATAACAAGGTCAATAATTACTGCCATTATTACTATATTCCACTGATACTTTTATATTCCTTTCTGCTCTTCTCTGGAACAGTTAACTGAAATTGCCTTCCTAAACTGTCCCCTCTCTTATTTTACAGGGCATCCCTACCTCCTGGTTTCCTTCTCAATTTCTTCATGAGATTTCTTTCCTATTCAGTGACAATTTCACTACCATTACTCACTTGCCCCCTTGGATATCTGTCTTTCCTTTATATACATTTCTATCATATACATTTTAGTTAAATGCCCAACAGGTAACTCAAAACCAATTCCAAAAATAATTTCATCATCTCTTAGCCTCTACCCTCTATAACTAACCCCAAATCTTCTCCTCTTCATGCCTTCCCTAACATAGTACATGATGCTGAATTTCATCCCATCATTCAAGGCAAAAATCAGTGAGACATATAGACTTCTTCATACATCATACATAAGCTGCACACAATTTCTATATATTCCATTTGTTCTATATGTTTTTTAAAGAATTTGCCCTGTCTTCTATTAAAAAGAAAACTATTGACACAGCTTCATTTTAATCCCTTCTTCCTGGCTGGAAGTAGCTTGAAGAAGAGTCTTTCTGCTTTCAAACTTTCCACAATTTGTTTTCCACACAAAAGCAAGAGTAATTTATATATATATAAAGTATATATGTATCATAAATCAGATATCAATACTTGCCTGCTGGAAACATTCTAGTACAATTAAAATAAAAACTAAATTATTATTTTCTTTTTCATCTTTATTGTTTTTTAAACATTTTTAGTCATTGTTTACTAATGCATAATATTTGTACATATTTATGGGGTCCATGTAACATTTTGATACATGAATACAATGTGTAATGATCAAATTGAGTTATTTAGGATATCCATCACCTTAAACATGTATTATTTCTTTGTGCTAGAAACATTTCAAATTTTCTCTTCTAGCTCTTTTGAAATATACAATATATTGTTGTTAATTATAGTCACCACACTGTGATATCAGACAATAAAATTTATTCCTTCTGTCTGAATGAATATTTGTGCTGATTAACCAACCTCTTTTGGTCCACACCCTCCACATCCTTCCTAGTATCTGGTAACTATCATTCTACTTTCTGCCTCCATAAGATAAATTTTTGTAGCTACCCCATGTGAGTGAGAACAAATGATACTTGTCTTTCTGTGCCTGGCATATTTTACTTAACATAATGACCTTCAATTCCATCCATGTTGTTGTAAATAACAGGATTTAATTCTGCTGTATGGCTGGATAGTATTTCATTGTGTGTGTGTGTGTGTGTATATACACACACACACGTATATATATATATGTGTCCATCAACTGATGAATGGATAAAGAAAATGTGAGATATATATATATATGTATATATACATATATCCCCATATACATATTTCTTGTTTCTTGTATATATCCAATTTTAGGCCCTCATTGGATGAATAGTTTGCAAATATTTTCTCTCATTCAACAGATTTTGTCTTCTAAATACACATATATGACAAAATATATAACATATATATGTGTGTGTACATATATATGTGTGTGTGTGTGTGTATATATATATATAAAATCACATTTTCTTTATCCATTCATCAGTTGATTGACACAGTTTCCTTCTGTATCTTGGCTATTGTGGACAGTGCTTAACTAAAAATGGGGGTGCTGGTATCCCTTTGATATATTGATTTTTTGTTCTTTGTAGAAATACCACATAGTGAGATTGTTAAATCATATGATAATTCTATTTTTAGTTTTTTGAGAACCTCCATATTGTTTTCGTAATGGCTGTACTAATTAACATTTCCACCAACAGTGTACAAGAGTTATCTTTTCTAGTTCAATCTTATGAAAAACAATATGGAGATTCCTCAAAAAAAATGGAACTAACATTTTATCCAGCAGTCCAACTACTATCTACTATCTATCCAAAGGAAAACAAATCATTATATTAAAAAGATAAAAAGCCAAAAATCCCACCTGCACTCATATGTTCATTGCAGCACTATTCACAATAGCAAAGTCATAGAACCAACATGTGTCAATCAGTGGTTGACTGGATATCGAAAACATGGTATAGATACACCAGATAATACTACACAGCCATAAAAAAATAATGAAATTATGTCCTTTGCAACAAGAAGAATGGAGCTGGAGACCATTACCCTAAGTAAAGTAAGATACAGAAAACAAAATAACACATGTTCTAACTTAAAAATGGAAGCTAAACAATGAGTACACAAGGACATAAAAATGGAAATAATAGACAATGGGGACTCCAACAAAGGAGATGGAGGGGGACAAGTGTTGAACAATAACCTATTGGGTACACTGTTCACTATTTGGGTAATGGGTACGCCATAAGCCCAATCCCCACCAGTACACAGTATACCCGTGTAACAAATATGCACATGTATCCTCTGAATATGAGATGAAATAAGTTTTGTAAACAGCTGTAAAAATGAATACTTTTTAAAAAATATATAGTAATTTTGAAGAGTTCCCTTTTCTCCATATCACTGCTGGCATTTGTTAATTTGGGTTTTAATTTTTATAATAGCCATTCTAAGTGGGATAAAACGATATCTCATTATGGTTTTGATTTGCATTTCCCTGATCATCAGTGTTGTTGAGTATTTATTCATATACTTGTTGGCCATTTGTAGGTTTTCCTTTGATAAATGTCTTTTCAGATTCTTTGACAATTTTTTAATGGGATTATTATTATTTTTTTATTTAGTTTGCTGTTGAGCTCAGTTTCTTGTATATCCCCAATACTAGTTCCTCATTAGATAAATAGTTTGCAAATATTTTCTTCCATTCAACTGATTCTGTCTTCACTATATTGATTGGTTTCCCTTTCTGTTCTGATATTTTTTAGCTTAATATAGTCTGGTTTGTCTATTTTTGTTTTTTGCTGCCTGTGCTTTTGAGGTCCTAGCTGCAATATCTTTGCTTACACCAAAGACTAGATAAAGTGATCCTTACATACTCAACTAATACCTTTTTTCCCAGCTCCTTACAGTCCAGCTTTATGACTCTATCTAATCCTCTAGTACAAAAATAATGTTTAAGAAAGCTGCCTGGAGTGATGCGGTATTCACCGCATGTGTCCAACTTGCACCACAAGTGGAAGAAGCCAAAAGGCAACCCACCCTAGGTTATATACCTCAAGGGCCATGTGAGTCCCTGGAAAAAGTTTTGAAGAGCACCGTGCCTCCAGTGAACATATACAAAACAAAACCGCGGCTATCCCAGAGAGTTCTGCCCTAACTTAAGATGATACATGTAGGAGAGACAGAAAAAAAAAAAAAAAAAAAAAAAGGTTTAGGCTGTTTCGAGCAGTGGTTCCTTATCTAAAGGTGTTGCATTATCAGTACATTCTACATTTTTTCTGAGATATATAGGCAAACAAAGGAAGGAGGGAGAACTGGGTCAGTCCAAAGCCATCCGGAGAACTATCTCGCATATGAAACTATAAAACTTGCTCTAAAAGTAATAATGTAATCCAATTTAAAATACTCTCATACTGTAATGGTGGTAAGTAAATCAATTTTAACGCTAATATAAAAAAGACCAAAGTATTAAAAATAACATAGCTACAATAATTTGTTAATGTACATACAATATATAAAACATGTAAAATGTGACATCAATAACATAAAATAAAGGAGAAAGAGAAGTTAAAATGTAGAGCTTTTAGATGCAGTCAAAGTAAAGATGTTACCAGTTTAACTTGTCATTAGCTTTTATAACTAAAAGATGTTTTATGTAAGCCTCACAGTAACCACAGAGAAAAAAGTTCCAGTAGATACACAAATAAAAAAAGAAAGAATTAAAGCACACCACCAAAACAATCATGTCACAAAGCTAGACAGTAAGAGAGAAAGCAAGTAACTACAAAACAGTCAGAAAATCAATTGCAAAATGGCAGCATAAATCCTGACCTATCAATAATTACCTTAAATGTAATGAAAGAAATTCTCTAGTCAAAAGACAGAGTGGCTAAATGAATTCAAAAAAATAAAAAAAAAGCAAGCTCCATCTATATGCTACCAGTCAACAAACAACTCACTTAAGCTTTAAGCATACACAAAAGCTGAAAGTGAAGGGATGGAAAAAGATATCCCATGCAAATGGTGAACAAAAGAGAGCAGAGGTTGCTATCCATCTATAACACAAAACAGACTTTAAGTCAAAATTGTCACAAGAGGCAAAGAATTTCATTGTATAGTGATAAAAGGATCAAAG
Organism: Homo sapiens; assembly: GCF_000001405.40. Lineage (NCBI taxonomy): Eukaryota > Metazoa > Chordata > Mammalia > Primates > Hominidae > Homo > Homo sapiens. The sequence goes on from NC_000004.12 coordinate 133,041,762, forward strand.
AATCAAGAGGAAATAACAATTGAAAATATGATGCGCCCAACATGAGAGCATCTAAATACATAAAGAAAATACTAACAAAACTAAAGGACAAAAAGACACATTAATACAATAATATTAGGACACTTAAGTATATGATTTTCAGCAATGGATAGATGTTCCAGACAGAAATTTAATAAGGGAACAGTAGACTTGTATTAATACAACACTGTGGACCAAATGAACCTGATAGACATGTATAGAACATTCTAAGAGCACCAGAATATCCATTCTTTCTGAGTATAAATGGAACATTCTCCATAGATCAATGTAAGGTCATAAAGAAAGGCTTAACAAATTTAAGAAAATTAAAATCATATCAAATATCTTTTCTGACCATAATGATAGGAAATTAGAAATCAATAACAGGAGGAATTTTAGAGAATTTATGAATATTTGAAAATTGAACAATACAATTCTGTAAAACCAAAAAGTAAAAGAAGAAATAAAAATATAAGTAAAAAGAGAGCTTGAAGGCCAGGCATGGTGGCTCATGCCTGCAATCCCAGCACTTTGAGAGGCCGAGGCGGGCAGATAACCTGAGGTCAGGAGTTTGAAACCAGCCTGGACACCATGGTGAAACCCCGTCTCTATTAAAAATACAAACATTAGCTGGATGTGGTGGCAGGCACCTGCAATCCCAGCTACTTGGGGGGCTGAGGCAGGAGAATCACTTGAAACCAGGAGGCAGGGGCTGCAGTGAGCCGAGATTACTCCACTGCAGCCTGCACTCCAGCGTGGGTGACAGAGCAAGATTCTGTCTCAAAAAAAGAGATCTTGAAACAAATAAAAATTTAAACACAGCATACTGAAACTCGTGAGATATGGCAAAAACAGCTGTAAGATGAATGTTTATAGCAATAAATGCCTATGTTAAAAAAATAAGATCTCAAATAAAAAAACAGCATTGTACCTCAAAGAACTAGGAAAACAAGAACAAAAGATCAGAGCAGAAATAAAATGGAGACTAGGAAGACAACAGAAAAGATCAATAAAACTAAAAGTTTTTTGTAAAGATAAAATAGCCAAACTTTTAGCTAGACTATAAAAAAAAGAGAGAAAATGCAAATAAATAAAATCAGAAATAAAAAAGAAGACAGTATGACTCAAACAGAAGTCCAAAAGATAATAATAAATTATTGTAAATAATTATGAGCCAAAAAATTGCATAACTTAAAACACATGGATAAATTCCTAGACACATACAATCTACCAAGATTGAATTATCAAGAAATAGAAAATCTGAACAAACAAATAACGAGTAAGGAGACTGAATCGGTAATAAAAATCTGCCATCCATGAAAGGCTCAAGACCTGAAAATTTCACAGCTGAATTCTACCAAGCATTTAAAGAACTAATAACAATCTTTCTCAAACTCTTTCAACCAACTGAAGAGGAGGGGATACTTCCAAACTTTTTTACAAGGCTCAAATTACCATGATATCAAAGCTAGAAAAGGACACAAAAAAAGAAAAATCACCAGTACAGGCCAATATTTCGAAAGGATATAGATACAAAAATTTTCAACAAAACAACAAGCAAATCAAATCCTTCATTACAACAAGAAAAGTCACTCACCACAATCAAATGGGCTTCATCCCAGGGATACAAAGATGAATAAACATATGTAAATCTATAAATGGGATACACCACATTAATGGAATGAAGAGGAAAAACCATATGATTATTTAAATAGATGCAGAAAAAGCATTTGGCAAAATTCAACATCTCTTCATAATAAAAAAAAAACTCTCAACAAATTAGATATAGAAAAAATGTATGTCAACACAATGAAGGTCATATATGATACTCAGCTAACATCATACTTAACAGGGAAAAGTTGAAAACTTTTCCTCTAAACTCAAGAACAAGACAAGGATGCCCACTCTTGCCACTTATACTCAAGTGGAAGTGCTAGCTACATTAATTAGGCAAGAGAAAGAAATAAAAGACATCCAGATTGGAAATGGGGAAGTTAAGTTGTCCCTGTTTGCAAGGACATGATCTTATACAGAAAAAAATCTTCATGATTTCACCAAAACTGCTAGAGCAATTAAACAAATTTACTAAAGTTGCATGATACAAAATCAACATACAGAAATCAGTAGCATTTCTAAACACTAAAAGCAAACTATCCGTAAAAAAAAAATCAAGAAAACGATCCTATTTACAATAGCTATAAAAAATAGGAGAAAATTTAATCAAAAGAGGTGAAATATCTCTACACATAAACCTATAAAACATTGATAAAATAAGTTATAAAAGACACACACAAAAACTGGAAGATACCTCATGTTCATGGACAAAGAAGTACTCATGGTGATACCAGAAAATATGCTTATGATAAGTTAAAAAGAACATGTTTTTAGATTCTTATAATAATTGGTTTGCTACCACATGGTTGTTTGAGGAAACGTTAGGGGAAAGGTAACATAACCACCATGTAGAAAGAGGTTACTGAATGAAAGAGATATCTAACAATCCTCTTGACATCTCTTGGATGCTGTTGGTCATACTACCTTTATCTTAAATGTCTGTTGCAGAAAGATTAAGATACTTCAGAATGTTGGATGCCAATTTAGAGAAGTTGGGAATTTTCCTCATTCCTTTCCCCTGATGTTTTACTTTCTATTTGGTCTAAAATAGTTCATAATTTTAAGCCGGGATTGTTATTACTTGAATTTATTAATGGCAAGCATTTTGATTAAACTATCTTGACTGGTTATCTCATGGTTAATTTTATTATACTTCAAACTCTTTTTACTTGACTTCCACTGGGGAAATATATTTATATTAGTATGGGCCTTTATGTCTGAAAGAACATCTTTCTGTTTTCCTGCTATAAGAACCTATGCATATTGGAATGTTTTCATATTATAGATTCTTTAAAAACAGACATAGAATTTTTTTTCCTTAAAATAAACATGGAATAAATAGAAGGTATGGGATACTAGAAAATATTATAAACTCAGGACATTCTATCATATGTATTTATATGTATGTTTTATTTTACTTGTTATTATATACTATCTATATTTATAGAATGGAAACTAAATAAGAAATATAATGGGTTTTATATCTTTAACTTTTTAATTTATTCTACTATCTTATCTAAAATATTTTATTTTGTGAATGTTGTCTATCAAACATGTAAATATTTGGATTTAGCAATAGAAAATCACTATAGAAATCTGGAAGTCAATACTCATAGCTTATGTACCACACACACATACATACACTCTTGCCATGACATTTTAATTCCATAAAATCTAAAGTGAGTATAGGAACTTATCTTTTTGAGTTAGGAATTTGGCAATCAAAAATTCAATGGAGGGTAAAAACACGTAAGTTTTTATTAATTTGAACATCAATATTTCAAGTGATATTTGGGGGAGCATCATGAAATAGGGAGGCAGTTTAATAGCTGAGGAAGATTGCTACTATAGATAGTTTTAACTCTGCCATTTGACAACTTCGTGAAATTAAACAAAGTACTTTGCCCTATCTTGCTTTATTTTCCATATCTCTATGAACCTTAGTTACTAGTTTGTTACAAACCAAAGATCAAATCAATATGAAGTGTTATTTGCTAAAATAATGAATGAGTTTGTTGGTTAAAACCTGCATGGAACTTCCTCCTGTTGTCTGCTGATCTGCTGAAGATAAGGCGATTTCTTGCAGGTGCCTGCTAATGAGTGGTAGGAGAGCTTCTTTTGGTTTGCTGTTATGGTGAGAGAATAGCTTTGGGATTCCACATTTATGCCAAATATATCCCCACTCCATAGGCCATACCAAACCTATTCTAGGTTTCATTTCTGGTGCTTTGTTTCTAAAGCAGAAAAGCCTAAAGTTCAACTTCCTCCAGTTGAGAAAATATACTCACAGTAAAGTCACCTTCTGGAGAAATTTAATTCTTTGGAATTTGTTTTTATTTGCATTTGGGCCAGGAGATTATATTTTATCATCTCTTTATTTCATTTATTTTACTCATGTATGTTTAGTGTTTTTTAATGAAAGAGGCAGACCATACCTAGTCAACAATATTTTATCGCCCATAAGCAAAGCAATCTCCCATCCATATTCCTAGAAACTGGAGGCTTTGTATATGTTTTAAATTTTATTTTATGTTCTAAATAACAAATGTGTTTTGAGAGTTATATATGGCTTCCTATTTTAAAGTATAAGATATCTAAGTCGGATAAAGTTATAAGCCAAATAATACTTCCTATCTCAGGTGATGTGTGAACTCTGTTTGGAAGGAAGACCATAATTTACAAGCTGAAGCAATGGAAAATGGCAGAGAAAATAGTAAAGTCAAAGTTAAAGGCAAGTGGCCCTGTCCCCACAGCCACCACTGCATATGGATACTGGCAGCCCTTCCGTCTGTGCATCACCAATGCTGAACAGTGCAAATGCGTGCACAGAGGCTGACAGCCCTGAGCCTGCCAGCACCCCACTACTGTCATGCTGCCACTGCTACCAGTGCAAGCACGCACAGGAATGCCATAGCCCTATTCCCACTAGTACCCTGTCCTAGCCAATGTGTGTGCACCTCACCACACTGCCAAGCTGCTGGCACACATGAGTGAGCATGAATACCACTGTTGCTGTACCAGTGAAGCACTTTGACTGGCATCACACATTAGAGTGTTGTGGCCAGCAAACTGGGAACAACTCAGCCCCTCTAGTGCAGCAGGCTCCTAACCTCGAGGGGTCAGAGAACAAAGCCAGGGGCCTAGTCCCCATCCCCTGAGTTACAGCACACCGTCCAGGAGTGATAATCTGAACCTTGGCTCCCTAAAATCTTCTAGAAACAAAAGTTAAGAGTCAACTGAACCCACATTACACCACAATAAAATCACCAAGGGCATCAAAGAAAATAAAAGCAAAAAAAAAAGAAAAACATTCAAAAGACAGAAACGTCAATGATTGAAAGAACATCAGCACACACAGATAAGAAAGAACCTGTGCAAGAACTCTAGCAAATCAAAAAGCCAGAGTGTCTTCTCACCTACAAATGACCACACTAGGTCCCTGGCAATGGGTCTTAATCAGTCTGAAATGACAGAAATAGAATTCAGAATTTTTGTTTTCTTTTCTTTTTTGAGACAGAGTCTCCCTCTGTTGCCCAGACTGGAGTGCAATACAATGGCGTGATCTCAGTTCACTACAACCTCCGCCTCCCAGGTTCAAGCAATTCTCCTGCCTCAGCCTCCCAAGCAGCTGGGATTGCAGGTTATTGCCTCCAGGCCTGGGTAATTTTTGTACTTTTAGTAGAGATGAATTTTAGTAGAGAGTAATTTTGTACTTTTAGTTGGCCAGGCTGGTCTCAAACTCCTGACCTCAAGTGATCCACCTGCCTTGGCCTCCCAAAGAAGTGGGATTAGCGGCTTGAGCAACCGCACCTGGCCAGAATTCAGAATACTGATAGAAATGAAGATCATTGAAATTCAGGGGAATTTCAAAGCCCAGTGCAAGGAATCTAATGAATATAATAAAACAATACAGAAGATGAAAGACGAAAAGGCCATTTTGAGAAAGAAGTAAACTGATCTGACAGAGCTGAAAAACTTACTTCAAAAATTTTATAATAAGAGCCAGGCATGGTGGCTCATGCCTGTAATTCCAGCACTTTGGGAGGCCAAGGTGGGTGAATCACTTTAGCTCAGGAGTTTGGTAACAGCCTGGGTAACATGGTGAAACCTTGTCTCTACAAAAAATATATAAGAATTAGCCAGGCGTAGTGCTGTGCATCTGTAGTCCCAGCTACTTAGGGGGTAGATAGCTGAGCCCAGGAGGTTGAGGCTGCAGTGAGCCATGATCACATCACTGCACTCCAGCCTGAGCAACACAGTGAGACCTTGTCTCAAAAAAAAAAAGAATTTTATAATATAATAACAAATATTAACAGCAGAATCAACCAAGTCAAGGAAAGGATCTCAGAGCTCGAAGACTGGATCTCCAAAATAACTCAGTAAGAAAAAAAAATTGTAAAAAAATAATAAAGAATGAACGAAACCTTGGAGAAAAATGAGATTATATAAATCAACCAAATCTCTGACTGATGCATTGCCATCCCTGAATGAGAAGTAAAGACAGCAAGCAACATAAAATACATATTTGAGGATATCGCCCATGAAAATTTCCCAAACTTCACTAGAGAGGCCAACATTCAAATTCAGGAAATGCAGAGATCCCCAACAAGATCATGTACAAGTTGGTACTCTCCAAGACACATAGTCATCAGATTCTTCAAGATGAAATGAAAGAAAAAAAGTGTTAAAGGCAGCTAAAGAGAAAGGGCCATTGCACTTCAGCCTAGGCAACAAGAGAGAAACTCCTTCAAAAAAAAAAAAAAAAAAAGGAAATTCCAACTCAAAATTTCATATCCAGCCAAACTAGGCTTCATATGTGAAGGAGAAATAAGATCCTTTTCAGAAAAGCAAATGCTAAGGGAATTTGTTACCACCAGACGTGCTTAACAAGAGGTCCTTAAGGAAGTGCTAAACATGGAAATGAAAGACAGTTAACTGCTACCACAAAAGCACACTTAATTACATACCCTATTTACAATATAAAGCAACCACACAATCAAGTCTGTGTAATAACCAGCTAACAATATGATGACAGAATCAAAACTGCACATATAAATATTAACCGAATGTAAATGGCAATTGAAAGGCACAGAGTGGCAAATTGAATGTAAATGGCCAATTAAAAGGCACAGAGTGGCAAGTTGGATAATGAAGCAATACCTAACTGCATGCTGTCTTCAAGAGACACATCTCACATTCAATGACATCCATAGGCTCGAAATAAAGGGATGGAGAAATATCTACCAAGCAAAGGAATAATAGACAAAAGCAAGGGTTGCTATTCTAATTTCAGACAAGACAGACTTTAAACCAACAACAATATAAAAAGACTAAGAAGGGCATTACTTAATGGTGAAGGGTTCAATTCAACAAGAAGACATAATTATAGTAAATATATATGAACCTAACATAGCAGCACTGAGATTCATAAAGCAAGATTCGCACATAATAATAGCAAAAGACTTTGACACCCCACTGACAGTACTAGACAAATAATTGAGGCAGAAAATTTAAAAAGATATTCATGATCTGAAACTGACATCTGACCAAATGCCCCTAACGGATATCTGCAGAACACTCCACTCAAAAACAGAATATACAATCTTCTCATTTGCACATGGCACACAATCTAAAATCAACAACATTGGCCATAAAACAATTAAAAAATAAAAACAAAATCACACCAACCACATACTTAGATCATAGTTCAATAAAAATAGAAATCAATACTAATAAGATATCTCAACACCATAGAATTAAATGGAAATTAAACAATCAACTGCTGAATGACTTTGGAGTAAGTGATGAAATTAAGGCAGAAATCAAGAAATTATTTGAAACTAGGAGAACAAAGACAAACGTGCCACAGTCTCTGAGATTCAGCTAAGGCAATGTTAGGAGGAAAGTTAATAGTGTTTAATGCCCATATCAAAAGGTTAGGAAGATCTCAAATTAACAACCTACCATCACATCTAAGGAAACTAGAGTAACAACCACCAACCAACCCTAAAGCTAGCAGAAGACAAGAAATAACCAAAATCAGAGCTTAATTAAGTGAAATTGAGATGCAAAATAGATAAAAGATAAATAAATCCAGAAACAGGCTTTTTGAAAGAATAAATGTCTCTTTTTTTATTAGTCTAGCTAGTTATCTATTACACTACCTATCACTAGCTAGACTAATAAAAAAAGAGAGAATATCCAAATAAACACAATTGCCAATGACAAAATGAAGAAGAGACTACTATGAACAACTCTGCACACAAACTGAAAAAAAGCTAGAAAAAATGGATAAATTCCTGGAAACATACCACCTCCAAAGATTGAACCAGGAGGAAATAGAATCCCTGAACAGACGAATAATGAGTTCAGAAATTGAATCAATAATGAAAAGCCTACCAACTAGACAAAGTCCAGAACCACATGGATACACAGCTGAATCCTACCAGCTGTATAAAGTAGAATTGATACCATTATCGCTGAAAGTATTCCAAAAAATTGAAGAGGAGGGACTCCTCTCTAACTTATTCTATGAGGTCAACATCATCATGAACAAAAACCTGGCAGAGACACACACAAACAAAACTTCGGGCCAATATCTTTGATGAATATAGATGCAAAAATCCTCAACAAAATATTAGCAAACCAAATCCAGCAGCATATTGAAAAGCTAATCCACCACAATCAAGTAGGCTTTAGCCTTGGTAATGCAAGGTTGGTTCAATGTACACAAACCAATAAACATGATTTATCACATGAACAGAACTAAAGACAAAACCATACAATCATCCAAATAGATGCAGAAAAGGCTTTCAACAAAATCCAACATTCCTTCATGTTAAAAATCCTCAACAAACTAGACAAAAACATTGACAAAACATACCTCAGAATACTAAGAGCCATCTATGCTAATCCCACAGCCAACATCATACTAAATAAGCAAAAGCTGGAAGCATTCCCTCGAGAACAGGAGCATGATAAGAATATCCACTCTCGCCACTCCTATTTAACATAGTATTAGAAGTCCTAGACAGAGCAATCAGGCAAGAGAAAGAAATAAAAGGCATAAAAGTGGGAAGAGAGAAAATCAAACTCTCTCTCTGTTTGCAGATGATGTGATGATTCTATACCTAGAAAACCCCATAGTCTCTGCCCAAATGCTCCTAGATCTGATAAATAACTTCAGCAAAGTTTCAGGATACAAAAGCAATGTATATATATCAGTAGCATTTCTATACATCAACAATATCCATGCTGAGAGCCAAATCAAGAACACAATCCCATTAACAATAGCCAGAAAATAAAGAATAAAATATTTAAAAGTATAGCTAACTAGGGAGGTAAAAAAAATCTAGTTACAAGACACTGCTCAACCATTTGTTCTTCAAAAAAGTTGACAAAAATAAGCAATGGAGAAAGGACTTCTAACCCTAACTCTATTCAATAAATGGTTCTGGAATAACTGACTGAAGAGTAAAACTGGACCCCTTCTTTACACTATATACAAATATCAACTCATGGTGGATTATAGACTTAATTGTAAAACTTAAACTATAAAAATCCTGAAAGATAACCTAGGAAATACCATTCTGGACATAGGACCTGGCAAAGATTTCATGATGAAGATGCCAAACGCAACTGCAACAAAAACAAAAATTGACAAATGGGACCTAATTAAGCTGAATAGCTTCTTCACTGCAAAAGGAACTATCAGCAAAGTAAACAGACAACCTACAGAATTAGAGAAAATATTTGCAGACTATGTATCTGACAAAGTTCTAATATCCAAAATCTATAAGTAACTTAAATTAATAAGCAAAAAGCAAACAACCCCATTAAAATGTGGGCAAAGAACATGAACAGACACTTTTCAACAGAAGACATACATGTGGCCAAAAAGCATAGGAAAAATTTCTCAGCATCACTAATCATCAGAGATATGCAAATCAAAACCACAGTGAGATACCATCTCATACTAGTTAGAATAGCCATTATCAAAAAGTCCAAAAACAGATACTGGTGAGCTTGTAGAGACAAGGGAATGCTTATACACTGTTCTTGGGAATGTAAATTAGGTCAGCCATTGTAGAAAGCAGTGTGGCAATTTCTCAAAGAAGTTAAAACATAATTGCCAGTCAACCCAGACATCTCATTATTGGATATATACCCAAAGGAACATGAATTGTTCTATCGTAAAGACACATCCATGCATATGTTCATCACAGCACTATTCACAATAGCAAAGACCTAGAATCAACTTAGATGCCAATCAATGGTAGACTGAATAAAGAAAATGTGGTACATATACACCACAGAATACTATGAAGCCATGAAAAAGAATGAGATCATGTCTTTGCAGCACTTAGATGTAGCTGTAGGCCATTATCCCAAGCAAATTAATGCAGAAACAGAAAACCAATTGCTGCATGTCCTTACTTATAAGTGGAAGCTAAACACTGAGCACACATGGACACAAAGAATGGAACGACAGACACCAGGACCTACTTGAAGATGGAGGCTGTGAGGAAGGTGAGAATTGAAAAGCTACCTATTGGGTAATATGCTTATTACCTGTGTGACAAAATAATCTGTACACAAAACCCCCATGACACAGAGTCTATCTGTATAATGAACCTGCACATGGACCCCTGAACCTAAAATAAAAGTCGAAAAAAATTTTAAATAAAGTTAAAGGAATCTTTCAATAAACTATTTTCTTAGAAATGAGAAATAATTGATCCCTTAAATGATCCAATATCATAAATGGGTCTACATTTTAAGATAATACAGTTAAAAACTACTAAAATATTTTCATATATTTAGTAAATATTTGTATTGCTCCAGACAAAATTTTAGGAATTCTGAATGTGTGCTAAATAACATTCCTTATCTCATGATTTTTTTTTATTTTTGGCAATAAAAATTGTATATATTTACAGTGTACACATAATATTCTGATATATGTATACATTGTGAAATGGTTACAACTAGGCTAATGTATATCTGATAATAAATATAACTAGACACCAAAAAAAATTTTTTTAATTAAGTTGAATTATTTATTTACCTTATTTACAAATGTATACTGCTTATCCAGTAACTCCCAAGCATTAAGGCATATGATTGTAAAAAGGAAAGACAAGCCTCCTCGCAGAATTCATAGTCAATTAGGGAAGACAGACAATAGACTTAGAGAAGTGTTTTGATGGGGAAGTATAGCATGCTATAAGAACAATTACAGAAGCTCCTAACCAGTCTAAGACTCTGAGAAATGATTCTTAAAAGGTAATATATAAAATGTAATCTTAAGAGTGAGTAGCAGTTAGGTGCTGAAAAGGGACTGGTGAAATGGTAACCATATACAGAACAGCTGTAAGCAAAATATCAGCATGCTTATACCAGGAAATACAAGAAATGTTTAGTTTATCTGGAGCACAAATTGAAAGAGGAGAAAATAAACTGAACAGGAAATCTCAGGCCAAATGATTTAGGACTTTGCATGTCATGTTAATGGCTGGAGTTTTACGTTAAGCACAATGAAATGTTTTTAAATCATTTTGATTCAAGAGGGGAAATGATCAGTTTGCATTTTTCAAAGATCACTTGAGTTTAATGTCAGATATCAATTGGAAAGTATATATATATATGAGAAAGATGCCTAGTTATGAAGTTGCTGAGGTCAAGTTATGAAGCTGATGGTCAAGTTAAGAGATGGGTGTTGGCACTGGAGGTAGATAAAATTGGAATGGTTTCAGGGCTATATACAGCAAGAATAAATTAGATTTGGTTGCCAAATGGAAGTAAGGTTGAGAAAGGCAGGGTAAAACTAACTCAGACTATAAATGAAGAGATTAACTGAATAAGAAGTAATTCCTCTTCCATTTAAATGAGTGTTAATTTTAAATGTTGATAGAGGTAATCAAGGTGAAAATGTAAGCCTGTTGGCAGTAACTACTACTATGTTAAGTTGTTTCTAATTTTTTAGGGAAGCATGGGGGGCACTGTGGCAGTTAAGAGGCTGAAAGTATAAGGACAATAATGAAGAATCACAAACTAATGAAAGTGCTGTTGACATAAATGACACTGTATTCTCAGGCAATGTTAAGAAAAAAATAAACTATATTTTCCAGTGGTGCCAGTTTAACAAGCTGAGTGATTTTCTCCAGGGAATTAGGCTGTAATTTTACCAGGCTGGTGGAACCAGAGCAAGAGTATTTCAGGGCTACAGTGATTGAAGTAACCTGACTAACCTCTCTGGTTTCTGGCAGGACTGTCTCATGTCTCAGTCTTAGCACAAAAGTCCTGAGCCTGCATTGCCAAGACAATCCTAAGCCAAAAGAACAAAGCTGGAGGCATCACACTACCTGACTTCAAACTATACCACAAGGTTACAGTAACCAAAACAGCATGGTACTCGTACCAAAACATAGATATAGACCAATGGAATAGAACAGAGCCCTCAGAAATAATACCACACATCTACAACTATCTCATCTTTGACAAACCTGACAAAAACAAGAAATGGGGAAAGCATTCCCTATTTAATAAACGGTGCTGGGAAAACTGGCTAGCCATATGGAGAAAGCTGAAACCGGATCCCTTCCTTACACCTTATACAAAAATTAATTCAAGATGGATTAAAGACTTAAATGTTAGACCTAAAACCATAAAAACCCTAGAAGAAAACCTAGGCAATACTGTTCAGGACATAGGCATGGGCAAGGACTTCATGTCTAAAACACCAAAAGCAATGGCAACAAAAGCCAAAATTGACAAATGGGATCTAAGTAAACTAAAGAGCTTTTGCACAGCAAAAGAAACTACCCCACAGTGAACAGGCAACCTACAGAATGGGAGAAAATGTTTGCAATCTACTCATCTGACAAAGGGCTAATATCCAGAATCTACAATGAACTCAAACAAATTTACAAGAAAAAAACAAACAACCCCATCAAAAAGTGAGCTAAGGATATGAACAGACACTTCTCAAAAGAAGACATTTATGTCGCCAAAAAACACATGAAACAATGCTCATCATCACTGGCCATCAGATAAATGCAAATCAAAACCACAATGAGATACCATCTCACACCAGTTAGAATGGCGATCATTAAAAAGTCAGGAAACAACAGGTGCTGGAGAGGATGTGGAGAAATAGGAACACTTTTACACTGTTGATGGGACTGTAAACTAGTTCAACCATTGTGGAAGTCAGTGTGGCGATTCCTCAGGGATCTAGAACTAGAAATACCATTTGATCCAGCAATCCCATTATTAGGTATGTACCCAAAGGATTATAAATCATGCTGCTCTAAAGACACATGCACACGTATGTTTATTGTGGCACTATTCACAATAGCAAAGACTTGGAACAAAGCCAAATGTCCAACAATGATAGACTGGATTGAGAAAATGTGGCACATATATACCATGGAATACTATGAAGCCATAAAAAATGATGAGTTCATGTCCTTTGTAGGGACATGGATGAAATTGGAAACCATCATTCTCAGCAAACTATCGCAAGGACAATAAACCAAACACTGCATATTCTCACTCATAGGTGGGAATTGAACAATGAGAACACATGGACACAGGAAGGGGAACATCACACACTGTGGGGGGAGGGGGGAGGGATAGCATTAGGAGATATACCTAATGTTAAATGACGAGTTAATGGGTGCAGCACACCAACATGGCACATGTATACATATGTAACTAACCTGCACGTTGTGCACATGTACCCTAAAACTTAAAGTATAATTAAAAAAAAAGAAAAGAAAGAAAAAATCTATTATAGCAGGGTAGAGAGCTCTAGATGAAATTAAAGGCATAAATGGACTTGAGGACCCAACATGACAGAGAAAAAAAAATTAGGAGGCAAATAAGAGAGAAAGTTGCTAGGAAGTGAGATTTAAAGGGTCTGAATTTAATATTCGTTAGTCCTGCTGTTGCAGGTGCTAAAGTCTAAAGAGTAGGAAACTAAAACGTGTTATGAAGATAAGCTGTTGGAGATGAGAACGTGAAGGACCTGAAAAGCCATATTGTTGGACTGGGTTTCTACAATTAGTATTAATAATGCATCCCATGGGACAACATTTTCAATAAAATGTTAGATACTATGGATGTGTAAGGGTAAAGGCATTTATCCTAATGGCATGAGCTCTAAAGGGGCAAAGTGGGTTTTCTTTTCTTTTCTTTTTTTTCATTTTAAAAAATAGATCAAGGAATAACAACACGGAAACACTGAGGAAGTGAAAAGAACATTTACCATAGTTTTGTGCAGTGATGTGTAGTCAGAGTGTAAGACAACAAATTCTACCTGGAAGGGAGTCAAGGAAGTAGTGTCTTCAGGATAGGATCAGGTTTTGTTAATATAAGAAATATAAGAAATGTTCATTGAAGAGACTTCATTAATCCTTAAAAAGTGGTTTTTAGAGACAAATAAGAATGCTATTCCACTTGTAACCAGACCATAAATTTTTCCTTCACATTTTTTCAATCATGGATATATACTAAATTTTGACAGGAGAAATATTAACTATCCGAGTTTTAACACTTTATAATGAAAAAAAGACCCTATAATTTATTCACTTTGTTTTTCAAATTAAAATCAAATCTCATTTCAACTACTATATGAGAAAATACATTGAGAAAGCAGGTTTACATGGCAATGTTAAATTATAGCCCCAGATGACAGAAAAAATAGACTCTCATGGCTAATGGAGATGTTCAAAGTGAAAACAGAATCAGGCAGCCATGGCTGGGTGAGAGAACGGTCACATACTCTGTGTTCTTGGAAAGATGTTGTAAAGGTGCTACAGAAATTCTCTTTCAACAATCAAACCAAACCAGTCCCTGTAGTTGGTGCCAAGATAAACTGTGGCTGGACTCCCTCTACCCAGTCCACCACTGAAACTGGTCATTTGAAAGAAACTTCTGACAGAGACACCTGGTTTTGAGCTTGGAAACCACCCAGTCAGAGCTTGACTATTTTGACCAATCAGAACTAAACAAGTTTGAAACTTGCATTTGCATAAATTGTCCTCAGTGAAAACCTGGGTGAGAATTTTCTCTATTTAAGATAGCCGCTTTCTTTGTTCTTCAGAGAGCACATTTTCATTGTATTGAAGGCTGTGCTTTCCCAATCTGCAAATTTTGTTTTAATAGAAAATAAACTCTTAATTTTTCCTCCATAGAGTTCTTGGTCTTCTGTTAACAAAGTACCATAAGGTATAAAACATGTGACCATCACAAGTCTGATGGTGATATAATTGACTGAATATGAACAGACACAGGTAAAGTGTACATCTTACCTCTGTGAACCACAAACAGAGCCGTCTCCTAGTCAGAACTATGTTTCCCTGGCCTTTGAATCCTCACAAATCCTGTCAGGTTCCAATAGTAACCTCTACTCTTTGGGTATAAGTAAAAAATATTACACTCAGCATGTTCCTGGGTATGCACTATAAGGTCAAGTGCATCAAAAATAATGTTTTTCCCCTTGCTACCCAGGGTTCAGCCTGCTGGGGGTATCTTATTGCTTAAATTACAAACACATTATTTATTATTAGAAAATGAGGATATATTTATCTACTGAGCTTTAACAAAATAAATGGCAGATGTGGAATATTCTATATATCTTGATTTTAGTTAAATAGGAAGAAATTTTTAAAAGTTACGAGTTTTTATTTTGTGATTTAATATAAGAAAATATAAATGTAAATTATGCTGATGATATTTGGATATAAAATACTTCTCCAAGTTTCTACTAATAATTTAACAATTTTAAAATTCGGCATATAATGTTGAACTTGATAAAACCTAAATTTTAAATATATGAATTTCTTTAAAAATGGAATCTTCAGAAGTTTGGAATTATTCTAATTTGCAAACAAATATTCTGACAAAAAATTAATGCTGAAATGTTAATGATATATTTGTAGTCTAACAAATTGCAGATCATTATAAAGAAATGAATTTACTTAGCATATTTGTCCAAAATGCTTTCTACAAGCCCTCAATATTTCTATAAATTTTAGAATTAGCATTACAAAGAAATTCTAGAAACAATACTCTGTTATGGTCACAGTTACTAAAAACAAACAAAAACCAAAACAATTCTAATTCAGAAGCCTTTGAGATTCTTTCATGTGCAAGACACTGTGAAAGATATTGGACTAACAAAGAATCAAAAGCAGATACATTTCAGTTTTTGAATATTGGGAGTTTATATTCCAGCAAAGCAGACTATATATAAGTAAACCATAAAATCATATTATGATAAAGGATATGATATAGATATATATCAATTAATAGCTAAGAGTGTGGATTGTATGACAGAGGTACAGACATGCATTAGAGAACTGAGCTTAAAGCAAAAGTAGGAGTTAGTTACTGAAAAGCACAACTAGGAAAGTGGGAGCAGAGGAATAAAGATAAAAGAATATAAGAAAAGTTGATATAATAAGATGTATCAGTTTCCTAGGGCTGTGATAACCAGGTACTAAAAACTGGATTGTTTAAAACAACAGGAATTTATTCTCTCAATTCTTGAGTCTAGAAGTCTTAAATCAAGGTTTCAACATAGTTGGTTATTTCCTAGGGATCTGAGGGAGAAACTGTCCCACATCTCGCTCTTGGTTTCTAGTGATAGCCCAGGTAACCCTTGGCATTCCTTGGATTGTAGATTCAACACTCTAATCTCTGCCACCGTTTTCACGTGGCTTTATCTTTATGTCTCCATGTCTTCTTATAATGTCACCATTCACATTGGATTAGAGAGTCATTCTACTCCAATATAAAAGACTTATCTTAAATAATTATATATGTAACAACTCTATTTTCAAACCAGACTGCACTCTGAGGTCATGAGGGTTAGGACTTTAACCTTTTTTGTGGGGACGTCATTCAATAAATAACATAAGGGCTAACACATATTAAGCAGTAACAAAACAATGTGTATACATTAAGCATTTTACCCCCAGTATATGGGTATTATATTGCTATGTGGTAGTTAAATACTATAATCTTAATTTTACAGATATACATTTCCTGGTCACAGAGTTAAGCAACATTAAAGCAAATTTAAAAGCCTATATTTTAGCCACAATGTTTCCTGCCTCCCAAATAGTTAAATTTAGTTGGATCCATTCATGGCATATGTAAACAGAGAAGTTTGTAAAATAAAGAATGACATAAAAATAGGATGAAATTTGTACTTTACTTGGAGACTATCATAAATTACATTTCTTTCTTATTCATAATCTGATCTATGTTTCATTTAAAAAAATACTGGTAAACATATGAGCCATAGTAGTTTCAGAAGATACTGAAAGAGAGAGGTATGTTAAAAGCTAGTGAAGTATTACCTAAGAGATCATGAATGCCTGTGATAGTGACAGGAGACAGAAAAACTCCTAGGCAAGCAGAGTCAGGAAACCCGATCCTCAAACCAAGGACAGCTTAAAGCCTGAGATCCAAGCTGCCAGTTCCAGACAGAGTCCACAGCTGCAGTGAGAACTATCCCTGTCTTACCCACTCTCTCTCAATTGGTTCCTTCTGAATGATGCCCTTTAACCAATCCAATGGTGCTTTTTCCAATACCACCCATGGACCAATCAGCATGCACTTCCCCATTCTAAGCCCATAAAACCCCCAGGACTCAGCCTCACAGATGGCTAACCGGCTTTCAGGTCCCCTCTGGCAGCTGGGAGTTTTCCTTCTATAGCTCAAAATTCTTTTCTGCCTTATTTACTTTCTGGTGTCGACATATCTTATTCCTTTGTTGCAGGACAAGAACTTGGAACTTGCTGAGCTGGGGATGGTGGGAGTAAAAGAGTTGTAACCTTCCCTTCTGCTCCCCAAACAATGTGAGAGAAGAAACCATTGGACGCCACTCTCTCCTGTTAGCCCAACTGCCAGAGCGAAAAAGTTGTGACGTCACTGGCTTACCCAGCAAGCTAACTGTGGGAGGTGGGAGTAAAAGAGCTGTAACCTTCTCTCCCACTCGAGGAACTACCCTCCTGCTTGACAAATTACAGGAGCGAAAAAGCCACGTATCAGAGGAGACTTCAGGGTATGTTTATATCTGTATTACAGGATTTTTAAAAGATTGAATGAAGTAGCATTTCTGAAATGTCTGGAACATAATGTTTGAAATAGAATAAAATATCAATAAATGGTGCTGCTGTCATTATTAGTTGAATTCATAGAGAAAACCAAGCACACACACACACACACACACACACACACACATGCACGCAATCCTAAAGACTATAAGGTTCTTATAGAAATAACATTAAACATGTTTTTTAAAAGTAAGGCCTTAAATATATAAAGTATATCCTATAGAATTTTTAAAACTAATAATTTTATATTATTATTGAATATATCTAACCTCTTGACCGTTTTTCATTGGCAGAAAATTAAGCCTGACAGTCTCTCCAAACAACTTTGTGCACATATTAAGTAAAGGAGGAGGTACTGCTTACACCTAAAACCTAATCTCAGATGAATTATGGAGTGAATATAACTACTACTGAGCTAAATGTTAAAAACAAATGTGTAAGATCTCATAAAGACAATACATGCAATATTTCATTTACACATTACGTTTATTATTTATGTGTGCATCTAATATCTAACTGCTAATCTCAGCTTTACCACAATATCTAAAATAAGAGGTAATTCTTTCATCATCTTGACCTTTTGGACAGTTTACCATAATCATACACGAAAGATTCAGTAAACTATTTAGATTTTCAGAAAAAGTAGTCATAGAATACAAAGCGGCATTAACTATCCAAGAGTATTTAACTTAATATATAAATAAATGTGTTCCTGATATGCCATTTCTAGGCAAGTTCAAGCCCCATATGAATGAGACAATAACAGTTTTGTTTTGATTTTTTTAAATTACCTTTTCCTGTAAAAGAGCCAGCTCCCTGGTTTTAAAGAAGAAATAATAGGAAAAGAAGGGCATTCTGAGAGTTCAGCCTTCTCTTTCTTTTATTAATTGTTTTAACTTCATCAAAGTACTTACTGCTTTGTAGCTACACTGAGATGATTTTATGTTTCTTAAATCCTAATACAAGAGTTAGAAATTAGTAGAATTTTTCCTAAATATGTCTTTGGAAAATGGCATTATATATGTAGAAATCTTAAAAATAGTACTTCATTTGACAGTATATCTGAGGAAAAATAAGCTTTAGTGGTTATCTTATTCCATTTTGTCCTGCTACAACAGAATACCTGAGTCTAGGTAATTTATAATGAACAGAAACTTATTTATCATGGTTCTGGAGGCTGGGAAGACCAAGATCAAAGTGTGGCATTTGGTGAGAGCCTTCTTGCTGCATCTTTACACATGGTGGAAGACAGAAAAGCAAGAGCGAAAAGGGGATCAAACTCATTCTTTTATAACAGCATTAATTCCACCCATAAAGCCAGAGCCCTCATGACCCAATCACCTCTGAAAGGTCTTATCTAATAATACTGTCACAATGTCAATTAAATTTCAACACGGGTTTTGGAGGGAACAAACATTCAAACCAAAGCAGTGGCTTTATGTAAGAAAATCCAATATAGAAATTCAGGAACAATACTACTTATTCCACTCTCCCTTAAGCAAAATGCAGTGTAAATACTATTTAATTCATTGCACTTACATGAAGACTAAATGTAATTGCCCAGTCGTCCATTGATTTACCCCTTACAGTTAAATCTGGTGATTTATATAGACCTATGCTATGGTTTATAGGAAAAGTTGAAAAAGAAAAATATGTAGTCTGCCCACCCAACATTTTTTCAACAACATCTCCTCAAAGGATGTAGCAAGAAATAATACAGTAAAGTCCATATTTCCATGGAGTAGGAAAAGACTTGACTAGAGTAATTATCAATATTGTTAGAAGAAAATGTCAACATATAAGCTAAATCTCTAAAAGATGTTGTTTTTATATTATTAGACCCTACAGAGCTTAAAACAAATGTAAAAAGATCTCTCAGATATATAACTTAAAATCTAGATCAGAATATGATGCATTTATATATTACAATATATTACATAATAAATGGCCCACACATTAAAAAATAGTGAGCTAAATGCACACATTCCAAGTAGCAAGACATTTGAGAAAGGGATAGTTGGCAAGATGAAAAAGCAATAAACCTAAATCCAAACACATGACTCTTATTGCTACCTCTTACATTAAGTAGTTCTATGTATTACTTAAGTTCCATGTATTTAGGCTTTTTTTTTTTTCTTTTGAGATGAAGTCTCACTCTGTCGCCCAGGCTGTAGTGCAGTGGCACAATCTTAGTTCACTGCACTCTCCGCCTCCCGAGTTCAAGCGATTCTCCTGCCTCAGCCTCCTGAGTAGCTGGGATTACAGGTGCGCACCACCACATCCAGCTAATTTTTGTATTTTTAGTAGAGACAGGGTTTCAACATGTTGGTCAGGCTGGCCTCGAACTCGTGACCTCGTGATCCTCCCACCTTGGCCTCCCAAAGTGCTGGGATTACAGGCATGAGCCACCATTCCCGGCCCATATTTAAGCTTTTTTTAAGACATCTTTTACAATTGCAAAAGACAGAAGACAAGTTTAATTATATTATATGACACTTCCAGAAAAAGTGAAAAATATTACCATTGATAGCATACAGCTCATAGAAACCATCATACAACCACTTCATTTACTAGAATTGACAATTCATCTGATTATTTCTGATGTACCTAAATTAAAACTTTTTATGTTTATATGCAAGGCATATTCTGGGTTTAAGGTTGTAGGGTGAAAGTGTTACATATGTTATGCTTCATATTGTTTTAAGGCCTCCAAGCTAGTTTTAATGTTATTTTCATGAAGTTTATGCTATTGAACATTGAAAGAAGATGTTTAAATATTAGTTTAAATTGGGGTCTTTTGTATATTACACAGTATGCTTTCTTACAAATTTCAAAATTACCTTATGGATAGTATAATTGCATAGTATTTTAAGAGTATAAATTGCAAATAGGTATTAAAATATGTTACTATTTTTGTAAATCTGATAATTTTTTGCTTTTTTGAAATAAAAATAAAATAATTGTAAATAGCCTTACTTCTGTTTTTTATCTGTGGCACAAAATGTTTCAAAGTTAATTTATAAGTATAGCTGGCATTAATTCAACTTAACAAAAAGAGTCGAGCTCACAATTGTTTGTGTAGGAGCGATTGCTCCTATCTGGGAATTGAAGACTCCCTGGTATATATCCTTTGTATAATACTTATACAGCTCTGGGAACTAAGGTTAAATTACAACTAAATTGAAGCATATTTTTATTTTTTAAAAATATATAATTTCATGAGTATATGTTAACTGTTTTTATACATTAATGTTCAGAGAAAATAATCTGAGTTTTATTTCTTAAAAGCTCTAAGATTAAGAAAAATAATTTACAACTTTTTAAAAGAGGATCAGCTATCGGGAATGCATAATAAAATGATTCATCATTCATGGTACTTGATATTTCATTTTCATTGGGTACATTAAATTTATCATAAAGAGATCAAGCAAAAAAAATTATAAAGACTTTTTCAAACACCATTTGCCCCAGCAAGTGTTGGACTCTGTTGGTGACTCATAGTGGCTGTTAACAACAGGATTAAGTACAGAAATTTTTCTGCTTAAAAAGCTTAGTTGTGCTCATTGAGAAAAATAAAGTTCAGCAGTGATATATTAAAAAGGAATTTCAGCATTGTTCATTGTTATGGTTGTCTGTTTTCTTAGTCTGTTTTGTGCTGCTCTAACAGAACAACACAGACTGGGTAATTTATAATGAACAGAAATTTATTTCTCACAATTTTGGAGGCTCTGAAGTCCAAGATCAGGAGCCAGCATCTTGCAAGGGCCTTTTTGCTGTGACATAACATGGCAGAAGACACCATTCAGTAAAAGGACAAAGAGAGGGTGAGACAGAACAAGAAAACCAGGACAAAATTGTCTCTTTACAAGGAGCCTACTCCCACAATAACAAACCCATTCTCATTACATTGATATTAATTCATTCATGAGGGCAGAGTCCTTATGGCTTAATCACCTCGGAAATTCCCATCTCTTAATTCTATTAAATGGCAATCAAATTCCAACATGAATTTGGGAGGGGACAAGCATTCAAATCATAGCATTTATCAAAACTAAAGCAAGCTATTAGGAAATAAAATTCTTCAGTTTTGAACTAAGGGTCATGAGAACCAATCTAAAAAGACATATTTACTTTATAGTCATTGGATCACTGGTTTTTGATACTGACTGTATATAAGAATAGTTTTTAAAATCCTAAAACCTTGGTCATATTTACATCTAATCCTAAAACCAAGGTCATATTTACATCTAACCAAATAAGAATCTCTGTCTATAGATACCTTGGTTTCAGCACTCTTCAAAAATATCTGAGATCATACTTATGTTCATCCAGACTGATAACCAATGATCTATAATCCCATCTTCTTTCTTAAAAAACAGTCTTAGAGAGATCCTTGAGGCTGTGTGGTCAGCAAAATATCATGAATATTCTCTTCATTATAAATGATCAACTAGATTTATTCTTAATCAAAAGTGCCTAACAGTCAGTTAGAGGTACTTACTACTGCGTAGTAAAATCAAACATTTCATGAAATATAAGAGCTTCCAATTCAGCACAGAAACAGAAAAGACAAACTTCAGTTTGACATTGCTTAAGCCCACTTCCTGGATACTCAGAGGATATATTCTGGAAATTTGGGGATGCAGAGACATAAGTCATTGTCATTTGGGCTTGCCTCATTCAGATTCCCAAAGCTGATAGTTAGATTTGAAATTACTTTGCTCTAGACATATCTCTAATTATCATACAAAGTTTCATAGAATTATAAAATAGTAATTTAAATTTTAAACATAATAATTATGGGTCAGATAGCTTTTGGGGACAGAAAGGGGAGCATAAGATTTGGAGTTTTCAACCCATCACAATTCCAGAAATATTTATTACAGAATTTCAAACTGAAATTAACCAACAGCAACATATCTTCCATTAGTTTTGATATAGTAATTTGAGAGAATCAAATTCAGGTTTTTACTTAGTGTATAAGTAAATTTTGAAAATTTAATACAGAAGCATTTATAACAAAATTGAAGTCCTTTAGCAAGATGCTTAAATGGAGTGCACTGTTAAGACAGTGTTCATTCACTGAGATGGGAGACTTCATTTGATATGTACTTTGCCAATCACTTTGTAATGGCAAATATCATAATAGAGAATTTAACATGCATGAAAATATTCGACCAAATAATGTTTATTACTTCTGTTAGTAGCAACATATCTTGAAAGGATAAAAATAAACTTCACTCAAGTATCTTCATTATAAAATGCAATATTAATCCGGTGACCTATTAACTCTTTCATGGCTGTATTATGTAGGTTCAAAATATCTAAATTTTCAATTATCTTTTTAGATTAGCTTATTTTTTTCCTTTAACTATGAAGCTCTGTAAAATGTAGAGAAATCCTATTTCTAAACTGAAATATATCAAAGTAAGCTAAAAGAATGGAATAATCATATCATAGAAGTTCTGGCTTCAGTGCTAACATGTTAAAGCAGCTTGGAAATTATCACTCCTGCCATCATAATTGCAACAACATAAATATGGAAAACCTGAAAATCAGTGACTTTTCTTGGAAACATTAGAGAATTGAGTGCATTATCCTGTTCTTGCATTGCTATAAAGAACTACCTGAGACTGGATAATTTATTAAACAAAAAATAGGCTTAATTGACTCCAGGTTCCAAAGGCTGTACGGGAAGCATGCCTGGGGAGGCTTCAGGAAACTTACAGTTATGGCAAAAGGCAAAGAGAAAGCAGGCATGTCCTACATGGCTGAAACAGGAGAAAGAGGGAGTGGGGAAGGTGCCATACACTTAAACAACAAGATCTCATGAGAACTCACTCCCTATCATGAGAAAAGCAATGGGGAAATCTGCCACCATGATCCAATCACCTCCCACCAGGCCCCTCCTCCAATGCTGGAGATTACAATTTGATATGCAATTTGGTCAAGGACACAAATCCAAACCATATCACTGAGACTGCAAGGCAAAAGCACCGGGAAATCTGGAGAGGGATGGATCCAGAGAGTCACAGGCTAGATTTGCTTACCTGGAACAGAAACCACTAGAGCCAAAAACTGATAGGATACCTCATTGTAATTGTAACTAAATACTGGAAGCTGAGTATGGACTAGCATGAAACAGAGAGAATCCTTGGAGATTAATTCATAAAGAAGTCAAAACATTTTTTGGGGGGGTTTACCTCCAGGAACATCAACTCCCCTAAGTTCTCACAGGGGAGTTAAGAAAGATGCCTTCCTGGCTCTGACAAAGGTAGAGGAAATACAACTATTTCAAAATGACTTAAAAGTGTTTGCCATAACAAAGCTCTGTGCTGCAGAGTAAAAGACTATACCAGAGCCATCTTGATTACATTTTACTGGAAAAGTTTCAAACTAGAGAAGCACCATATAAAAATTAAATTGAAATGGATTTTATATCTAAACGTAAGACCTAAAACTCAAAAATTATATAAGAGGGTGTTGCTAAAGGAGATTAACATTTGAGTCAGTGGACTGGGAGAGGCAGGCCTACCCTCAATCTGGGTGGGCATCATCTAATCAGCTGCCACTGCAGCTAGAATAAAGCAGGCAGAAGAACAGGGAAGGACTAGACTGTCTTAGTCTCCCGGCCTTCATCTTTCTCCTCTTCTGGATGCTTCCTCCCCTCCAAATCAGACTCCAAAGTCTTCAGTTTTGGGACTCATGGATTTACACCAGTGATCTGCCAGGGGCTCTTGGGCCTTCAGTCATAGACTGAAGTCTGCACTGTCAGCTTCCCTACTTTTGAGGTGTTGGGTCTTGAACTGGCTTCCATACTCCTCTGCTTGCAGATGGCCTATTGTGGGACTTCACCTTGTGATCGTGTGAGTCAATACACCTTGATAAACTTTCCTTCATAAATGCATCTATCCTATTAGTTCTGTCCCTCTAGAGAACACTGAGTAACACAGTTGTATTTTATTTTCTAACATTTTGTGGAGGGTTGTTGCATCCATATTAATAAGAGATATGGTTCTGTAATATTTAATAATATTACTAGTAATATTATTACTATAAATTGTCAGGACAAATGTTTTCACTGCTGAATTCTATCAAACATTTTAGGAAAGAATAATATCCATTTAATGTAGTGCTCTCATACAAGTAAAGAAGAGATCAGTGGAACAGAATAGAGTCTGTAAGTAGATCTACATATAGGGTCCATTTATTTTAGATAAAAGTGCAAAGAAAATGCAAAGAGAAAAGGTTAATATTTTCAACACATTTTACTGGAAAAGTTTCAATCTAGAGGAATGCCATATAAAAATTAAATTGAAATGGATTTTATATCTAAATGTAAGACCTAAAACTCAAAAATTGTATCAGAAAACACTGGAGAAAATATTTATGAATTTGGGTTAAACCGATATTTCTTTAATACAACATTAAAAGCATAATCCACAAAAGAAAAAAGTTATAATTTACACCTTATAAAAAACTCTAAATGTCTGTTGGGTCTATTTTACCTAATGTGCAGTTTAAATCCAATGTCTCTTGGTTAATTTTCTTTCTAGATGATCTGGCTAATACTAACAGCATGGTGTTGAAGTCTCCAACTGTTATTGTATTTGAATCTGTCTCTTCATTTACATCTCATAATATTTGCTTTATAAATGTCAGTACTCTGGTGTTGGGTGCATATATATTTTAAATTGTTATATCCTCTTGCTGAATTTATCCTTTTATCATTATATCATGATCTTTGCCTCCTTTTATTGTTTTTGATGTAAAGTCTATTTTACCACATGTAAGTACAGGTAACCCTGTTTGCTTTGCTTTCCGTTTGAATGGAATATCTTTTTTCTGTTCCCTCTCTTTATTTTCAGTCTCTATGTGTCTTTACAGGTGATATGAGTTTCTTATAGTCTGAATTAAGTTGGGTTATGTTTTTTTTAATGCATTCATACAGTATACCTTTTCTTAAGTGAAAAAACTAATCCTTTTCCCTTCGAGGTTATTATTGATACTTAAGAGCTTGTTCTTACCATTTTATTAGTTGATTTCTGGTTGTTTTCTGTATCCTTTGTTCTTTCTCTGTTATTGCTTGTTATTGTAGTCTGGTGGTTTTCTGAAATGATCCTGTTTTAGCTTTTTCTATTCCTTGTTGGTGTGTTTGGTGTAACAGTGGGTTTTACACTTTTATGCATTTTCATGATGGTAGATATCACTCTTTAACTTTCAGGTGTAGAACTCCCTTAAGCATTTATTGTAAGGTCAGCCTTGAGAAATTCCTTCAGCTTTTGCTTGTCGGAGAAAGACTTTATATCTCTTTCATTTACGAAGAATACCTTTAGGGGATATATTATCCTTGGCTGGCAATTTTCCTTTCAGCACTTTGAATATACCATCCCATTCTTTTCTGGCTTGTAAGGTTTCTGCTGAGAAATCCACTATTAGTCTAATTGGTTTCCCTTATAACTAACCAAATGCTTTTCTCTTGCTGTTTTTAGAATTATGTCTTTGTCTTTGAATTTGACAATTCGACTGTAATGTGCTATAGGAAAGACCTTTTTGCATTGTAGCTCTCAGGATCTCTGGGTTTCCTGTGTCTGGATGTCTAAATCTCCTTCTAGACTTGGAAAGTTTTCAATTCAAATATTTGGTCACATTAGGTGTTCATACGCCACTAAGGCTTTGCTCATTCTTTTTAATTCTGTTTTTCTTTTAATTGTCTGACTGGGTTATGACTGGGTTATTTCAAACGACCTGTCTTCAAGTTTTGAAATTCTTGCTTCTGTTGATCTAATCTATTGTGAAGCTTTTGAATGTATTTTGTATTTCATTCAGTGAATTCTTCAGCTCCAGAATTTCTTTATTTTTTAATGATATATTTTTGGTAAATTTCTCATTTGTATCCTAAATTGTTTTTCTGATTTCTTTGTATTATTTTTGGTATTCTCTTGTATCTCACTGAGCTTCTTTAATATTATTTTGAATCTTTTTGTGGGATTTCATAAATTTCTTCATTGAAATTTGCTGCTGGAAAATTGTTGTGTTCCTTTGTCATTTTTCTTGTGCCCTTATGTTGATTTCTGAACATGTGATGTAACAGTCACTTCTTTTAATTTTTTGAATTTGCTTTTGTATGAAAGAACTTTTTCCAGAAGATGTATCTATGGTGTTGATGAGGTAGGGCACTTTGGCTTTGATTCTGGGTGCATGCAATAGTATAGTCTCCATATGATTGTAGTTGTAAACAAGGTCAGTGGTGTCTAAGTTTCCTCAGTGGCTTAGGGTGCAATTGGTAGTGGAGGCTGTGGTGAAGTTTTATTGAGAATGGGGACACTGGGTGGGCCTGACCTCAGGCCCCAGTGATGGTAGTGGTAAGCTGAGTGTTCTTGACTTTGGGCACCAGGGTGGTATATTCTGGCACCAATGTTAGCATCCAGGTGCGCCATTTCTTGGGCCTCCATGCAACTTGTGTGTGTACTGGTAGTAGCAATTGTGGGTTGAGCCAGTGAGGGAGTCCTTGGGGCCCTGGACTATATGAGTGGTTTGAGTGATATCAGCAACAGTGGTGGGATTAATCTCTAAGTCCAAAGCAGTTTACTCTGATGTTGGTGGTGGCTGTGACAGGCTTGATGGGCCAGTCCCCAGGACCACAGGTGGCACATCCAGATGGTTCCCCACTGTGGTGGTAGCAGTACATTGGGTGGGCCCAACCTCAGGCCTCTGGGCAGAGGGCTCGGGTACCTACTGTGATAGATGGACAGGATGGTTCCCAGACCCCAAAACTTCATGCTCAGGCACTGGAGGGGCAGAGCTAGGTTGGGAAAACCTGTTCTCAGGACCCCTTGTGGTGCTTTAAGGCACTGGCTGTGGTAAGCAGGAGTGGAGTAATCCCCAGGCCCAAGACAGTGGATTGGGGCATCAGTGGCCACACTACAGCCCTGCTACCAGGGAAGGTAGGGTTGCTTGCAGTGGTAGCAGCCATATGCAGGTGGCTGGGGAGTACACTTTACTTGCACTTCAGCCCTGACTTTTGCATCCATAGCTGTAGCTGCTGCAGGTGGGGAAATCTGATGTCAGTACATATGGAAATGCATAGTGGCTTTACTGCTGGGGCAACAGGGTCTTTGCCAATGGCTCACCTTTATCCTTGAAGGCAGCAGCCAGCTGTGGTGTGTGGCTGTAGGCAGGGCATGTCAATAAGTCTCCAGAGATGTGGAGATGCAGGTTCTGTTATGCCCCAGAGTAGGATGCAGTCTGGTGGTGGCTGGGTTCTCAATATGGCATCTTGCTATAGCTCCCTAGGGCTCAAGAGGTATGTGGGACCCAGCATGAGCTCCCTCTCTGAAGCAATGCCTCGCACGGTCTCTAAGCAGCTCCCTATGTTAGCCTTTGAGTCCATGAGGATCTAAAGTCTTTTTCACAATTAGGATGCAGGAGTCTGCAGTGGGGATGTGAACCTCTGAAGTTCACTCACTTATCCTTTCTCCTTCCCCACAGAGGCCCCCTGCTGATCCCAGCTGAGGAGGCTACCTCACTTGCCTCTCCTTCCTTGCTTTATGTTCTTCCTATCACTTGACTATTTTTTATTCAAGTTGTCTCTCTCAGATGACCTATGTGAAGTGTGATTATCTCATCCCTATTTTGACTCTGCTTTTTGGCAGAGACAAATACCAAATGCCTCTAGTAGTCATCCTGAAGCCCTTCTAGACTACCCTGGATGCACACAAAAACACACTCTCAAGGTTATTACGCTAAATGGAAGAAGTCTAATAAACAATATAAGCATACTGTATGTTTTCATTTATATAAAATTTTAGAAAAGAACAAACTAATCACTGTGACTGAAAGCAGATAAGTAGGTGCCTTTTGATGGAGCAAAGGGTTAGGGAAGGACAGAAGAAAAGTACTCCAAAGGGGCATGAAGGAATTTAGGGGCTGACAATACACTTATAATCTTAAGAGTGGTTTGGATTTCACAAGTGTATAGATATTTCAAAACCTGTCAAATTCTACACTTCAAATACATACAATTTATTGTGAGTCAATTATACTACCACAGAGCTTTGCAAAATATCTTGACGGCATTTTCTTTTACCTATAAATCTAATTTACTTATCCTCTTCGTAAGATTTATATCTTGGAAGAACCAGTCTTTTCTTTCTGTATTTCTTTCCTCACCTTGTGTTGAACCTTAATTCATGCCAATCTGGGTTCGGCCCCTAACTTCTGTCAAAATGTTTGCACTAGAATAACCAAGGTCCCTACATTACTTAATCCCAATCACCTTTTTCCTCTCCTGTCTCAATTAACTCCTAAAGAGCATATAACATTGTTGACCATTTTCTTTCTGCTTCAAACACTTTGTTTTGCTGCTACAAAACCATTTTCTTCCAACATTTTTGCTACTCTCATTCTCCAACGTTGGCTGAATCTTCTTAAGTTGTTCAGTAAACTTTGGTGTTCCCAGGAATTAGAAGTAGCCCACTGTTTTCTGCTCTATAATCTACAACCTTATTTATTTTAGTTAGCTTCCTTATATTCCAAATTATTCCAAAATACTTTTTCATGGCCTAGCACTCTCCCCTGAATTCTAGTCTCATTTATTCAATATGTCATATGGTATCACCACTCAGATACATAAAGATATCTTAAACTTATTAATCATTTAATTTATCCCCTTCATTCTCTACAATGTAGCCAATAGGGAATTTTAAAAATGCAAATCTCATTTGCTACCCACTTTTGAAAATACATCAATGGCTTCCCAATGATTAGCTCAGATTAAAATGTAAGTATTTAGCATGATCTAAAACATAATCTTGCCATTGCCTGCAGTAACTCATTTTCTATGCCCTGCCCTTTATTCTTTGGATTCTGGCTGTACAATACTGTCCTTATTTTAATTACTAGATGTTGCTTTCTCTCAAACAAGGCCTTTAATATGCTTTTCTTACCAGCTGGAACTGATCCCAAGTACTCCCTGCATTTTATGTTTGTAAACTCTCTTCCTCAGATCTCAGTTCACATAAATTTGGATCTCAGTTCCAAAATTTTCATTATGGAAGACTTTTCTGATTTCCTGTTATCTGATCTAGAAGTAACCTGTTTCTTTTTCTCTTGGCACTTTTAACATGTTTTGAGTGTAAATTGATATGATTATAATTTCTGATCATATTTGATTAGTGGCTGTATTTTGCCACTAAACTATAAAACCAATAAGGCCACAATGATGGTTGTGTTGTCCATTTCTCTTTCCTCATTGCTCTCAATGGTGCCTGACAGAAGGCAACTGAATTTTAAAAAATGGGTATTGTGTGAGCTATATCAAAGTTAACCCTTTTAAAAACGGATTTAAGACACTTAATAGTATAATCTAAATAGCACAGGCTTGGAGCCAGAAAGTCATAGGATCAAATTTAGTCTCCACCACATCTTTGATGTGTGATTTTAAACAATTTATTCCACTCTCTGATGGTAACTTTTCTCTCTTTATTATGGGTGTAATATTAGCTCTCCTCTGAAGTGTTTATGTATATTAAGTTCAATGATGAATATATAACTCCCAGTAGAGAGCCTCCAGAACCTCAAGATCAGTTTTAACATTCAGTAATATATTTTAAAAGGAAGTTGCAAGCAATCATTTAGTTATTTAATAAATTTCAGGAAAGAGTAAAATAAAAAATTGGTTGTGCTTTGATATAGCATACTTTCAAAGACAATATTTAGCTTAACAAGTTGAATTCAGTAAGCCCAGTTTAGAAAATGATCAGCTCATATTGCACCAGCATGCTTGTTCATATGGTTTGAATCTATGTTCAAATATAAAAAAAAATTGATATGGTTTGGATCTGTGTCCAATACAGAATATTGGTACTGAGAAGTGTGGCATTGCTATAAAGATACCCGAAAATGTAGAAGCAACTTTGGAACTGGGTAACAGGCAGAGGTTGGAACAGTTTGGAGGGCTCAGAAGAAGACAGGAAGATGAGAGAAGTTTTGGAACTTCCTAGATACATGTTAAATTGCTGTGACTGAAAAGCTGATAGTAATATGGACAGTGAAGGTCAGAGTGAGGAGGTTTCATATAGAGATGAGAAACTTATTAAGAACTGGAGAAAATGTCACCTTTTTTATGTATTAGCAAAGAAATTGAAGGCATTATGCCCTTGCCCTCAAGATATTGAAACTTCGAACATGAGAAAGATGATTTAGGATATCTGGTAGAAGAAATTTCTAAGAAGCAAAGTGTTCAAGATGTAGCCTGGCTGCTTCTAACAAGATATGCTCATTTAAATGAGCAAAGACTTGACCTGAAACTGGAATTTAATTTAAAGGGAAAGCAGAACATAAATGTTTGAAAAATGTGTAGCCTGGCCAGGTGGAAGAAAAGAAAAATCCATTTGCAGGGGAGTAATTCAGGCAGGCTGCAGAAATTTGCATAACTAAAAGGAAGGCAATTTCTAACAGTGCAGACAATGGGGAAATGGCCTTGAAGGCATTTCAGAGACCTTTGTGGCAGCCCCTCCCATCACAGGCCTGGAGGCCTAGGAGAGAAGAATGGTTTCATAGTCCAGGCCCAGTGCTCTGCTGCCCTGCTCAGCCTCACGACACTGTTCCCTGCATCCCAGCCACTTCAGCTCCAGCATGGCTAAAAGGGCCCCAGATACAACTCAGACCATTGCTTCAAAGAGTGCAAACCATGAGCCTTGGCAGTTTCCATGTGGTGGTCAGCCTGAAGGTACACAGGGTACAAGATTTGAGGTTTTAGAGCCTCTGCCTAAATTTCAGAGGATGTATGGAAATGCTTGGATGTCCAGGCAGAAGCCTGCCTGGGGAGGAATCATCATGGAGAAACTTTACTAGGGCAGTGCAGAGGGGAAATGTAGGGTTGGAGCCCCCACACAGAGTCTCCACTGGGGCACTGCCTAGTGGAGCTGTGAGAAGAGGCCACCATCCTCCAGACCCCAGAAAGTTAAATCCCCTAACAGCCTGCAGGGTGCACCTGGGAAATCTGCAGGCACTCAATGCAAGTCTGTGAAAGCAGCCATGATGGCTGAACCCTGCAAAGCCTCAGAGATGGAGTTGCCCAAGTCCTTAGGAGCCCACCACTTGCATCAGTGTGCCCTAGATGTAAGAAAAGGAGTAAAAAGAGATTATTTTGGAGCTTTAAGATTTAATGACTGCCCTGCTGGGTTTCAGGCTTGTGTGGGGCCTGCAGCCCCTTTCTTTTGACCAATTTCTTTCTTTTGAAACAGAAGTATTTATTCAATGCCTGTACCTTCATTGTGTCTTGAAAGTAACTAACTCATTTTGAACTTTACTAGCTCATAGACAAAATGGACTTTCCTGGTCTCAGTTGAGACTTTAGGCTTTTGACTTAATGCTGGAATACATTAAGACTTTGAGGGATTGTTGTGAGAAGAACATGAGATTTGGGAGGGGTCATGGGTGGAATAATATGGTTTGGATCTGTGACCTCACTCAAATCTCATGTCCAGTTGTAAACCCCAAAGTTGGAGGTGGGGCCTGATGGGAACTGATTGAATCATGGGAGCAGTTTCTCATAGTTTAACACCATTCCCCTTGGTGTTATCCTCACAATAGTGAGATCTCATGACATCTGGTTGTTTAGAAGTGTGTGGCACCTCCCCGCTCTCTCTAGTACTCCTGCTCCAGCCATGTGAAGTGTTCAGTTCCCCATTGCCTTCTGCCATGATTATAAGTTTCTGGAGACCTCCCCAAAAGCCATGCAGATGCCAGTATCATGCTTTCTGTACAGCCTGCAGAACCATCAGCCAACTATACCTCTTTTCTACATAAATTACCCAGTTGCAGGTATTTATAGCAATGCAAAAACGGACTAATACACTTGTTTAACATTTATTTTATTATTTTAAGCTCTACTTACTACCGCTTTCATTCTCCAGGCTTTTTTTTTCAATAATACTTAGATCAAAAGTGTATTTTTTCCCATACTGGTTAGAGTTATATAACTATTTAAATCTATTATATCACATTATTTACAACCTAAATAATTTCATTACCTCCCAGTATTGTTGGCATACTTTTGATGGTTTATTAGCAATATCATGAAATAATATGATTAAAGTCATAAATATGTGAATTAGTCCTATTTTTGTTAATTGTGCAATTACTAAATAATTCATAAAGGCACGCATATTTTCAGCCATTATTCATGGTGTTTTCATGGATACAATGTGTGAAACCAAATGTGTCATTTTTTTCTTCTTTATGGAAAAATAATAGGTCTATCATTTTCTTGACATTGGCATGAGTGAAAGTTGTGTGAAACTTTTTGCCAAAGAAGACCAAAAATGTAATATAAAAATAGCACAAAAAACAGAAATAAATGGTTTAATATAAATAACATTTCCAGATTAGATGGACAATACTAAAATTTAAGAACATAATGATAAAAATAATGTTTTAAAATAGCTCTAGTTTTTCAGCAACAAAAGTTTCATTTTGTAGGCCAACAAAGTATCCCAATAAACATATAGTTACAAAAAGGTTAGTTAATGCAATCGTGTTAGGTACCTTTCATGCTTCTGATTCAAGTATATATAAAAAAACAAGTTAATAATTATATATCTAAGGAAATTTTAACGTCATTATGCTAACATGTAAATACTAAATGAATTTTTTATTGAAATCAACATGACCTACAATGCAGTAAATCAGAAGCATGGCAAATTAAAATGTCCACACCTCCACAAAAGAGGTTGTATTAGTCTGTTCTCACATTCCTATAAATAACTACTTGAGACTGAGTAATTTATAAAGAAAACAGGTTTAATTGACTCACAGTTCTGCAGGTTGTACAAGAAGCATGGCTGGGAAGGCCTCAGGAAAGTTACAATCATGGTAGAAGGCAAAGGGGAAGCAGGAACATCTTACATGGCTGGAGAAGAAGAAGGAGAAAGAGAGAGATAAGGAGGAAGTTCTACATACTTTAAAACAACCAGATCTCATGAGAACTCACTCAGTATTAGGAGAACAGCAAGGGGGAAGTCTGTCCCCATGATTTAATCACCTCCAACCAGGCCCCTCCTCCAATACTGAAGATTACAATTCAACATGAAATTTGGGTGGGGACACAGAGCCAAACCATATTATTCTGTCCCTGGCCTCTCTCAAATCTCATGTTCTTCTCATATTTCAAAACACAATCATGCCTACCCAACAGTCCGCCAAAGTCTTAACTCATTCAAGCATTAACTGAAAATACCAGGTCCAAAGTCTTATCTGAGACAAGGCAAGTACCTTCCACCTATGAACTTGTAAAATTAAAAAAAAAAACAAGTTAATTACTTCCAAGATACAATGGAAGTACAGGCATTGGGTAAATGCTCCCATTACAAATGGGAGAAATTGGCCAAAAGAAAGGGGCTACAGGTCCCATCCAAGTCTGAAACCCAGCAGGGCAGTCATTAAATCTCAAAGCTCCAAAATAATATATTTTGACTCCATGTCTCATATCCAGGCCACACTAATGCAAGTGGTGGGCTCCCAAAGACTTGGGCAGCTCCACTCCTGAGGATCTGCAGGGTACAGCCCCTCAGCTGCTTTCACAAACTGATGTTGAGTGCCTGCAGCTTTTCCAGGTGCATGGTGCAAGCTGTCTGTGGATCTACCATCCGGGGGGCTGAAAGACAGTGGCCCTCTTCTGGCAATTCTATTAGGCATTGCCCCAGTGGAGATTCTGTGTGGGGGCTCCAACCCCACATTTCCTCTCTACACTGTCCTAGTAGAGGTTCTCCATGAAGGCTCTGCCTCTACAGCAGATTTCTGCCTGGACATCCAGGCATTTCCATACATCCTCTGAAATCTAGGCAGAGGCTTCCAAGCTCTCTCAACTCTCCCTTGGCACACTTGCAGGCTTAACAACATGTGGAAGCTGCCAAGGCTATGGCTTGCACCCTCTGGAGCTCAACCTGAGGTATATCTTGGGCCATTTTAGCCAAGGCTAGAGCTGGAGAATCCGGAATGCAGAGAGCAGCGTTCCATAGTTATGCAGGGCAGTGAGGTCCTGGGCCTGGCCCACAAAACCATTCTTCCCTCCTAGGCCTCCAAGCCTGTGATGGGAGGGGCTGCTGTGAAGGTCTTTCAAATGCCTTCTAGGGCTTTTACACATTGTCTTGGCTATTAACATTTGGCTCCTATCTACTTATGCAAATGTTTGCAACTGGCTTAGATTTCTCCCCAGAAAATGGATTTTTCTTTTCTCCTACCTGGCCAGGCTGCAAATGTTTCAACTTTTATGCTCTGCTTCCCTTTTAAATATAAGTTCCAGTTTCAGATCATCTCTTTGCTCACTCATATAAGTGTATGTGGTTCAAAGCAGCCAGGCTACATATTGAATGCTTTGCTGCTTAGGAATTTCTTCTACCAGATACTCTAAATCATCTCTCTCAAGTCCAAAGTTCCACAGATACCAAGAGCAGGGGCACAATGCCTCCAGTCTCTTTGATAAAGCATAACAGGAGTTATCTTTGCTCCAGTTCCCAATAAGTCCCTCATATCCATCTGAGACCCCCTCAGCCTAGACTTAATTGTCCCTATCACTATCAGCATTTTGGTCACAACCATTCAACAAGACTCTATGAAGTTCCAAACTTTCCCTCACTTTCTTATCTTCTTCTGAGTCCTCCAAACTCTTCCAGTCTCTGACCATTACCCAGTTACAAAGCTGCTTCCACATTTGCAGGTATCTCTATAGCAATGCCCCACTTCTCGGTACTAATTCTCTGTATTAGTCCGTTCTTACATTGCTATAAAGAACTACCTGAGGCTGGATAATTTATAAAGAAAATAGGTTTAATTGACTCACAGTCCCACAGTCTGTACAGGAAGCATGGCAGTGGTGGCCTCAGGAAACTTATAATGATGGTGGAAGGCAAAGGGGAAGCAGGCACATCTTACATGGCAAGAGAAGAAGAAAGAGAGAGATAAGAAGGAAGTGCTATACACTTTTAAACAACCAGATCTCCTGAGAATTCACTCAGTATCGGAGAACAGCAAGGGGGAAGTCTGCCCCCATGATTCAATCACCTCCCAGCAGGCCCCTCCTCCAACACTGTGGATTAAAATTTGACCTGAAATTTTGGACAAACACAGAGCCAAACCATATCAGAGGTGGTTTAATTCCTTTCCCTTTGACTCTGGACTGGACCCACAACTTTCTTGGACCACTGGAACACAACAGAAGTGACATTATACAACTTATTAGGTTGAGCCATTAGAGATCTGCCATTTTTGCTTTAACTTGATTAGAAAGTTCCTTCTTGGAACTCACTCATCATGCAAAGAGAATGTAGGAAAGTTATATGGAGGACATCCAAAGTGCTCCTATTGACTGCCCCAGCTAAGCGTTCAGTCAACAGCTGGTGCCAACTACCAGCCATGTTATGTGAGCCATCTTATGTGTTCCCGTCTTTGAAACTCCTACTGACTATAGCCCCAGGAAGCAATAGGTGAAGCAGAAGACCCACTCAATTCAGTCCAGTCAACTCCCCCAAAAATAAGATATAGTAAACGTGATTGTTCTTTAGAACCACTAAATTGTAAAATGGGTTGCTATACAAAAGCAGAAACTGAAACAGAAGACAAAGGTTCAACTCTGATTTTAAATGAATAATGACTTCGGAGTCAGACAGCTTTTGATCCCTGAACTGGCAGGTGTTGTATGACCTTGGCCAATTCACAATTCATTCCATTTGTCTGAGTCTCAGTTTCAATAGAAATCACTTCATAAGATTGTTGTGAGAAGTGAAAAGAAGAGTTCCTGCAAAGTACTTACACGGTGACTGGAACTTAATAAAAGTTCTGTAAATGTTGGCTGTTGCCGTGTTGTTGCTGTTGATATTGATGGTAACTTTGTCTGTAGAAAATATTATATATGAAGTTTCACTCTGCTGAGGACTTCTGGTGTTAAGCAGGGGATGGAGAAATGAAAAAGCATAGGATCAGAAGGGCTTATGTCCAGAAACATATTTCAAAGGATATCTTTTAAATAAAAGCAATATTTTTGCATGTAAAGGCAATTTAGAAATTGAGTCTATAAAGCTATGACTTATTTTTCATAAATTGAATTTTTAGAAAAAGTATATTATACCATGCCTCCTTTTCCAGAAATATTCAAATACATGCATTTATTATGATGTTGTTATGAAGTCTGAATACCTATAGGTAGTTGACTATCTACAGTTTGCAATAATAATAGAATTGGCATTACTACTTACTTAATAAAAAGAGTTGTTTTGGTTATTTAACATAAAACTGAAGTTATCCCAGAAATATGTTGTAAATCATAGGAGTCGTACACATGTCACAATAATATTTCCTGATATGCCCCATTGCATTCTTCATTTCTCAGATTAAATTTTACTTTCTGACAAGAACTTCCATTTGAACTGGATAGTCATAAAACCCTTTCCTTTCTTATTTATATTTTAAAAATTTCCCAGTGGTATTCTCTAATTAGTTCTAAATTTTGACATCTCATTCAGAATGGCTTTTCTTTGTCCTTAAGGGAAAATTGATATTGGATTGATACTAATAGCTAGTATCTATTTGTGTATCCAAACAAGTATATGTTTGACCAACTGCATATTGTAAACCACTAATTTCAGTTGCAATGAGTCAAACTCCTAATTTCCTCCACATCAATCCTTTACAGCTCAGCAGGACATGTCTCTTCTCTCAAGACCATTACAGATTTAATTTATCCAGTAAGGAAGGGCAGTCATTCTGATACATGATTATGAAAAATTATGCTACTGCTTCCTACTGATCTATCCACAAAACCACATGGGCATCTCCCTCAGTGTTATTTCCTTAAAGCTCTCCTATGCTTGACTAGTTTCTATAGGGTTCATGATATTAATATAAACTTAGCACAGTTCCAACATATCATAAAAAAAGCAAAAGAAAGCAAATTAAGCAAAATTAAATCTCATTTATAAACATGACTAAAGAGAACACACATATTAAAATTTATCCAGCAGTTTCTAAAGACACTATCTTATTTAGTGTAGATTAAAGGTAGCTAAAACACTCAAGCTCAGTCAGGTCAGTTTGTTCAGTTCTTTCTCTTAGAATTGACCTACTCGGAAACATTTTGATCAATTTAAAAGCTACCTTCAAATTCCTATTTTCCTAATTAAATGAATCAACAGAAAAAAATATGACAGTAAACATCTCAGAATTTGCTGCAGTATTTTTTAAACATTAAACAGGAAATCCTCACAACATCAGAAATATAAGAAAATTCACTTTAATGATAAGGATACAAAGATAAGATAATTGGCTAATGCCAGCTATCAGATTAATAATTAATGACTAAAATAAAATGTATGCTTTTAGATTCTCAATCACTAGACTTGTGTTTATGCATCTTAACATTATTTTTTAAATCTTATATGGCATATATGAGTTATATCATTTGGAAAGTATTATGAGGATACTGGAAGAGAATTTCTTCAGTTTATCCAGGCTGTGATGGAAGCAGAACTCACAAATCAATCCTACTGGTAATTTCACAGTGAATATCTTTACAATAATATAATGCTTTCCATGCAAGGTAGAATCATAGTAAGTGCAACTTAGATGTCAGACCAAAGCCACAGCCTCACGGCAAATAAATAATTCCTATTGCATTTCCAGGCTTCCTTGTTCAGTAGAGACTCAACCAAGGACTACATGAGCTAAGTTGTCCATCAACAGCTGGGTGTCATAAGATTTACCCACCATAAAGATAGGCATGACCAGTGATGAGCTTCAGGACACGCTACCCCAAAATATGACACTTTGGTATATTCAGTATTTTAAGTGGATGGAATTTGAGAAATCAAATGTGAAAAGGTCTCTGTGACTTGCTCCCACCTTTCTTCCCTGAAGGTCATAAAACCTAGGAAGTCTTTTCTAACTTTCCCCTGAT
This sequence comes from Homo sapiens, assembly GCF_000001405.40. Classification (NCBI taxonomy): domain Eukaryota; kingdom Metazoa; phylum Chordata; class Mammalia; order Primates; family Hominidae; genus Homo; species Homo sapiens. The sequence goes on from NC_000004.12 coordinate 133,080,477, forward strand.
GCAGGTCATAAGATTCTCAAGTTAGAGATACCTTATTTATATCCAGAGGAAAGGAGTATCATTATCTCTGGAGAAAGAGGGACACAGAAACCTAAATGAACAAGCCTTGCTAAATTTCTTCCAGTTTCTTACCTTTAGCTCATACCCACTTTGTCCCCTGATACTTCTCCATGACACTCTACTTTTCATCAAACAGTCTAAAAAAGCCACCTAGGTTTAACTGTTTATTCAGTCTTCAGTTCTTTATGAAGGACACAGTGTCACATAAAATTTATATTAAGTAAATTTGTATGCTTTCCTTTTGTTAATCTGTATTTTCTTAAAGGGGACTCATTCAATGAACCTAAGATGGGTAGAAGGAAAAGATACATTCCCTCCCCTACACCAGCAACATATTAATACCAAGTGGAAGTAGTATATAAAGAATAGAAACCTAGAATGTCCTGCAGGCACAGCTAAATTGCATGAGGAACTGGCTCACATTCTCAGTTCTACCTATTCTGGCTGCATTGCAGCCTCTCTCTCAAATCACAACTATGGCTCCAAATTCAAACACAGCTTAAGGATGGTGTCGCATGTTGATACCATCCAGATACAAACAGCAGTCTCATCATATTTAGGTGGCATTAAAGGACAGTGGAGAAGGAAATCTTTTCCAGTAGGCAGAATTTCAAACAATACATTTGGTTGTCCATTTTACCTTCAGGAGAAATGACCTGAGACATAGATTGAAGGAGGAAAGATGAGACAGATTGGAGGAAAGATGGTCCTCTTTCCATGTCCTTGGTAGGTAGAGATTGGGAAATTGGCCTATAAATGACCACTAAGATTCTTCTTGCCGAGGCTTTGAAATGTGAAATACGAGAAAGCTATGCAAAGATACAAAGTTCAGCTAGAAATTATTTGTGCCACCTGTGGTAGAGTCAAGTATAACAAGGACAGCAGCAGCAGCAGCAATAAGAATCAGCTGAAGATAGAATGAATGGTAGCATTCCAACTAGGCAATCTCTCTGGGTTGTTCTGCTCACATTGGTCCTTGTCCAAGTCTTGTTTTAGAAAGTACTCTTAAATTTCATCATCTTGCAGAATCCTTTCTAAAAATTATTATTTTATTCAAAACAACCAGAGTTAATGTTTTGAAATTAAGATGTATGGTGCATTGTCTTTTGCCTCTGTGTATAAATAATATAAAAACTGTTTAATTCACCAAGTCACAGATTCTTGAAGTGAACATTAGTTTTTCCTATGCCCATATGTGCACTTCTTTGTAAAATCCAGTTTTAGCATGATTCCTGAAAAGTTATTTTAGCAAGAACCCCCAACTCTTGGTATCTTATCACCCTAGACATCTGTTTTGTGTCCTTATCCTCCACCATCCTCCAGGTAATGTCTGATCATTGTGGCCTATGTCCAACAAGAATCATATTAGGTAAGTTTAGCTAGATTTTCCTCTTACCCGTAATGTTTCCTTTTGGTAATTATCCATCCACCAACAACAACCTAACTACTTAGCTTGAAATTTCCATTTGATCATGCTATATTTGGAATTGAGCCCAACCTCCCTCTACTCCTGATAAATCCCATTGCAATGGTCCCTAGACCCATGGCAGTAGTCCTCCCTCCCCACAGACACACCTTGAATAATGTCTGCCTTATCATCTTTAAAAAGCATAATAATTTTATTTTAACACAAGAAGCATATTTTATGAGTTTAATGCTGAGACTATTGAAAAAAGAAAAATATCTTTACTTCTAATGTATGAATATCTATATACAGAGATTTGTGTTTCAGAGCTAAATTGACATTCTATGATTACATTTTATGCATAAGATAGCCACAACAGTTAATAACAAATTTATATATATTGAAATGCACTAAAATATTATTTGCATGTTTTTGCTTATAATGTGAAAAAAATTGAAAGTTATTAGAAAATTTCTAAAATGTTGAAAGAATCATATACTAATTGGTACTTGGTAGCTGAGATTGATAATTTTTTTTCTAAGAGGAAATATGAAGATTTTTCAGAACATTATTGCACTTGAAATAGAATGCAAATTAAAATTTAATCCATACATTTTAATTGGTTTTAACACAAGAAGTAGTCTAAGTATACTAATGTGGCAGGACTGTGAAATAATCAGTAAGCTTTTAAAAATGCATAATTGGAAAGCAATAATAAATAATGTTTACTTTGTTTTGAATACTCTATGAACTATAATTACTGCTTCTGTTTATTCATGTCTGGCTCAAAAACATAAATCAACTTAAGGCCAAGTAGGCTGCTTTCTTTTTCTTTTGATCTTTTGGGGAGTTTTTTATATTTTTTGTTTTTGAATTTTTGCAGGGGGCAGAATTTCTCCTTTACTCTTAAGCTGGAAGAAGACCCTACTAAACCCACACATGAAAAACATAATTTAAAACTTAAGTTCATCATTTGCCATTTGAATTATTATAATTAAGCATGTTAAATTGTCCATTGCTTCAATGTCTGAGTTTTTCTGTGTTCAGAGTACTCAAATATGAATACTGAAAATATTTTTTACCACTGAGACAATAAAGAAAGTATCATCAAATGGAGCAAGTGACTGAAAGGAACTGTGGTCACTACAAATGTCAATGAAGCCAGAAATAGTCCTTTAAAAACCAGCTATGCTGCCAATGAATGCAGAAATGGCACAGCTTATGAGTCATTGACATAATCAACATAATAGTATAATACTAATCAATTAATACCACAGCTAGGATATTCCAGCATTTTAATTCATTTTGACATGTTCAATTTAACAGACCACATTCTATGTCTGTAGAGATAAATTATTTGTATTACCAAAATTGTTTATATTTTTCTACCTTTTTAAAAAAGTAAAAGTGATTTAAAGCGGTCATTTGAACTTTACTCTGTTCTTAAATACAGGACTGGGGAGCAGGGAAGCATTAGAAATAATAAAGAACATTCTCTTTTTCCAATCTCCAAACACATATTTAATCGGCATAATGTAACTGATGGATGTCCTCCACAAAAATATCTAGAGGTGATGGACCATGCCCAAGTTGCTCACAGGGCACTTAATAAATGAGGACAAGAGAGAGAAAGAAACAGAGGCAGAATAAGAAAGCATTTCAGATGGAGTAAGTTGTAGCTTTTTTTAAAGTAGAGACATAAAAATGTCAGAATTATTTTTAACTGTTTCATATATAAATATGTAATAATGTCTCAGTATCTCAAAAGAAATAATGCAACTTAAAAACACTCAGGTCTGAATTTATGTACTGATTTTTTCTAATCCAGAATCTAAATTAAAACAAGCCTCAACTCTGATTACATACTGATGCAAATTAGTTTGCCAGAGTTATCATGATAAAATATATGCTTATACAAATCCATAGGCACATATTGATACTACCTAACATGCTACCCCAATTGGTATTGGTATTGTGTAAATATTCAATTTACAATTAAAATTATAAAAAGACAACAGCTTCTGCCAGGCTCTTCCCAGTTCACACTAAAATACCTATGAAAAAATATTTTTAAAATCATGAAAACTTACTTTTTTGAAAATAAAACTATTGCTGCTTTATAAGTAGTTTACCTTAATTAAAATGTCTAATAATTTCATGAAGAAAAAAATATCCAGTGTTCTTTTAAATCTAGGAGGGATCAGCTTCACAAACAGCAAAGTAGAAACATGGTTTTCCCTTCCTTCACTGCATGCTTAGAAACCAGAAACCCTTAAGCTATAACAGCCACACTTTAAAAGCTGACAGTGTTCCATTACTGTAGATTGTTAATTTCTAAAGAATCCTATCTTTTATCATTAATCCTCTGTTTTCCATGTCATGAAGACATATGACTGCTTTGACATTCAAAATATTTTAGATTAAAACAGAAATTGGGTATTGGCAGTGTGTTTTCTATTGCTGCTATTAACAAATTACTATCAACTTAGTGCCTTAAAACACAAATTTAATATCTTACAGTTCTGGAGTTCAGAAGTCTGACAAAGGTCTCATTGGACTAAAATTGAGGAGTTGGCAAGGCAGCATTCCTTTATGGACACTCTAGGGAAAATCTATTTCATGGCCAGTTCCAGCTCTTAGAGTTTGCCTAGGTTCCTTGGTTTGTGGTTTGCTTCTATCTACAAAGTGAGTAATGGCAGGTTGAATATTTGCACTGTATCACTCTAACCTCACTTCCATCATTGCATCTACTTTTCTGACTCAGGCTCTGACACTTTTGCCTACTACTTCCACATTTAAATGATCTTTTTGATCCCATTGGACCCATTAGTATAATCAAGATAATCCTATTTTAAGGTCGAAAGACTAGCAACTATAATTCCATCTATAATGTTAATTCTCCCTTGCCATGTAACCTAACATATCCACAGGTTCTAAACATTCAGACATAGACATATTTGCAGGGAAGGGTTGGGCGGGGGTGGGATTATTCTGCCTACCAAGCACTATAATATTGTTTGCTGGAAACTATTAAGAAACTATATAATGGACACAAACTGAAATGCTGGGAAGAGTAAAATCTGCAGACTATATTTTCCAGGTACTCTAACAATGTATTATAGAAGTAATACATGGGATATAAGTAATCTGCCTCAGGCCAGCAAAGCCATAAGAGATATATGACAATGTAATACTGACATGAAGCTGTGAACAAAATGTCCATCAGCATGGTACACTAAGCTAATTAGAAAAGCACTCCCACAGTCTGAATGCAAACATATAGGTACTGTGGATAAAATTTAACATAAAAATGTTTTAAAAAACATAGCTGAATTCAAAAAGAGAAAAAGAAAAATGGAAAGAAATTTTTTTAAAAAGAAGTAAAGAAGTAAGAGGAAAAACAAAATTAGCACAGGCCAGAAGTACAGGGGAAATTGAAAGCCTCTGCTTGTGAGAGGGAGTTGATGGTCTAAGAAGATCTGAGTTCATGCATCAGCCTTAGAAGTCCCTGAAATGTGCTCATAAAGATGGGAAGCACTACCTTGAACTAGCATGAGGTGGTAGGCTGAATCTGAGAGACGTATATCATACTCCAAAGTGGTATTTTCCTGATTTAAAAAAAATTTAAAAGGTGTAAAAACTACTTCGATGCCTTCTCCTGCCTCTTACTTAGGCGAGTAGGTGTTTAAAAATATACCTGAAAAAACTTACATCTTGATCCATGCACAGTGTGAAGTCTGAATTTGGAATATATTTTTGATGCTGAAATCTTAATCTATGAAATTAAAATAAAATCAGTCTGGGAAAGGTGAGACAACTAAGGACTTCAGCAAAAAGAAAAAAGAAAAAAACTTTTTACCAAAGTTCGTACAATCCAAAGAACAACAGGCTACCTAAAGTAAAATATCCAAAAAAAAAAAAAATTCAACATCTACTTTAAGGAATGAAACACTAGGAGAGTTTGTCATTAGACACAGCCATCAGGTTATTTAGAGATCCCATGACTCTAAATTGTAAAAAACATGAGATTATGAAATAAATATGTTTTAAATAATTAGTAAGAAATAAATACCTTAAAGAAAAAGGACACTATAAGAAAGTGATTTTTAAAATATATAACTTCAAAAATAAAAATATATTTGTTATTAAAAATGAAATTCAACAGATAATTAAAATAATAGACTTATTTTTTGAAAGAAAAAATTTGTGACCTGAATGTTCCAAAAGACATAATCACCCAGAATAAATTGCAGAAGGTTATATATAGAAAACTGTTGAGACTGAAATACCATCATCTTTAGCAGAATAAAAAGAAATAAATCTACAATCAATATATTCCTCTTCTGAACAGAATGTAATAGCTTTCAGTACTACTATTACCAAAAACAAAAGGAAAAGCCAAGCAAAATGGAAAAAAAAAATTCTTAAAGAAAATCAGAAAGTTTCAGAAGCCTGAAGGACAAGTGGTGCCAACATTCTGAAGAGAAGAATATCATAGAAAATTGAGCTGACATTCTACATATACATTTTTCCAAGAGGTATTTACCAAAAATGGGCACAGCAAGAGATTGAAAATCCAGGCTTAGCTGAGACAGAACCACTACTGAGGAACAAAAAGACATCAGAAGAACTTTAGGCAGTCTCCAGTGCTAGAGATAAAGTTGGAGATTTGAGCAGCATAAAACAAGCTGTCAGATTTACCTTTATTGCTCAAAATCTGATGTGACAAGAGGTAGAAGGTTACAAAGCTAAGTTGAATGCACACTGAAAGAAGGGAGCTTTCTACCATCAGTTAACACTGAAGAGTCAAAGACTTATCTTTAGGATCCAGCTAAGAAAAGGTCCCAGGGAATATTCCAGACTTTTGTTGCAATTTGTTGCAATTCCTAACTAGCTATCCCCAAGGAAAATGGCTAAAGGGAGAGAAGGGAACCCTTAAAAAACATAACCTTACCTCAATCCAGTTCGACCCTGATTAATTTAAGGTAACATTTCTTAAAACGTCATCTGCATATGTGAAAAATATTTTCATCATAATACTAAGATGCTATTTATCTTTTCCATTTTGTTGACATCTGCACTGATGGTCCAAAAGCAATGGTGGTTAAAAGTGTTGGTGCCATAACACAAACTAAAGCGCTGGCACCAAGCTGCACTAGCACTCATATTGCACTCTGCTTCACAGCTTGGACCCACAATTAAAATCCCCACACAGTTTTTTAAAATGCCAATTTCACATATGACAAAGAAGTAAAAAGTATTAATTTTATTAAATCTCGACCATTAAAAATATATTTCTTTATGATGATAATGTAATCATAAGTAAAGCAATTCTGCCCTTTTCTAAAAATTAGGGTATTAACTTCAGAAAAAACAGTCGTGTGTTTTTGAATTGTAAGCTGGACTGGATACGCTTTTCCCATGGGACATTCAACATAACTGTTGAATGGAAACCTAAAATGAAGAGGTCAAGTGAATGAAGCAGGAGCAATATTTGAAGAGATAATGACCAAATTTTTTTCTAAATTGGATGTAATAAAGAATGTATCACTGGTAAGAAAAATAAAATAATAAAAAATGTAATTCATACAAAAGAAAGACAGTATAAAGACAGACAAAAGTGGAATAAGTAGAAAACATACAATAAACCAATAGATATACATTTAAATATATCACTTCTTATATTTAATACAAAGAAAATAAGTACTCCAATTAAATACAATATTTTCAAACTGAGATAAAAATTCCCATATATCTGCTGCTTTTAACAGACATGACTTAAAACTAAGAAAACAAGACTGAATATAAAATGATGTTAAAAATAAAACCATAAACAAGCACAAAAAGATGGTGTGAAACAAAAAGAACAGAAAATGTAGATTCTAAGATTGAAATCATTAGTACATGCAAAGAGGGCCATATCATAATGATAACATGGTCAGTCCACAAAAAGATATAACAGTTATAATTATATTAGCACCTTGTAATATAGCTTTAAAATGCTGAACCAATAATTGGCAGTAATAAATGAAGAAATGGGTAAATTCAGAATCAAAGGATTCAGAGACATATACGATTGTCATATATATTGACATACGATAAATGACATCAACATATTGACATAAACAGAAAGCTGTACCATACAATGACAGACTTTAATTCTTTTCAAGTGCATATAAAATAATTACCAAAATTGATAATTTTCTTGATTCTTTAGAAAGGCTTAATGTGTTTCAAAAGATTTAAATTATTTAGAGAATATTCTCTTACCACAGTGAAATTAAGCAAGAAATCAGTACAAAATACTAACTAGAATATCCCCAAATGCCCTAAAGAATGCATAGATTGAAGAAGAAATCACTACAGAAATTAAAAAGTATTTTAATTGAAACCTAACTGAGATAGAACCTTTCCAGTTTTGTAAGAGGCAGTTAAAGCAGAACTTAAAGGAACACTCAGACCTTTAAACACATATAAAAGAATGAAAGTTGAAAATAAATGATTTATCTATGCTTCCATCTCAAGATGGCAGAAAAGCAGCATGAAATCTTACCAAAGAAAATAGAAAGGAGGAATTAATAAACATAAAAGTAAAATCAGGGAAATATAAAATAAATGTACAATAGAGAAAGTCATCTCAGATGAAAGATTTTTTATTTGAAAATATGAATTTTTAACAATTTTTAACGAGTTATTTGCAGAACTAGTCCAGAAAATAGAAATAAAGAGACCAATATCAATTTAAATGAAGAGAACATTATAGATCCTGTAAAGATTAAGAGATAACCTAAGAATATTGTAAACTTTAATAAATTTGAAAATATAAATGAAATGGTAGTACGCCTTGGAAAACACAACTTAGAAAAAAACTAGAATACTAGATCTAGCATGTTTAAAGAAACTGAATCCATTTCTAACACTTTCTACAAATAAAACTTCATGCACAAAAAGCTCCACTAGTCAAATCCAAATATTGAAGAAGGAAATAGCATCAATTTTATATAAACTCTTCTAGAAGACAACGAAAGAAATAAGTATTTCCAACATGTCGCAAATTGCAAACAAAAACCTGAAAAGGGCATTATAAGAAAGAAAAATTACAGAACCACCTCTCTCATTAGCACAAATGGTAATACTCTAAAGAAAATATCTGTAAATTGAATCAAACAATGAAAGAGAAAAATAACATCACAACCAAGTGGGTTCTATTCCATCCATGCTAAGTGTGTTTAGCATTTGAAAGTTACAGATTTTGGTACATAAACAATGAAAATATTATCCCAATCGATTTTTAAATGATTTGATATTATTCAAAAATCATTATTTATTAAAAAGAAAACTTTTGGAAAGTAAATCTTATTCTTAATAATGAATTTTTAAAAGACTTAATCCTGAGATTAGGAGGAATACAAAGATTCTCACTAACCAAAATTTGTTCAGCACTACACAAGAGGTGGTAGACAACTGCAACCAGACAAGAAAAGGTTTAAACAATGGCAGTTAAGGAAGTTGGAAATTTTTAAAATATGTATGAAAACTTTCATTATTTACAGGTGACATGACTATTATTGCAGAACCTCTAAAAGTATTTTCAAAATATTAAAATTAATAAGTCAGGCCAGGTGCTGTGGCTCACACCTGTAATCCCAACACTGTGGTAGGCCGAGGCAGGTGAATCACTTGAGCCTATGAGTTTGAGACCAGCACAGGTAACATAGTGAAACCAGTCTCAAAAGAAAAAAAAAAATAAGTGAGTTTAGCTAGGTTTCAGGATGCAAATCCAACATATTACAACCAATAGTGCCTTTCTATAGAACACATGCAATTATAAAAAAAATAAAAATTTTAAATATAATACAATTTTAATAGCATAAAAATCAAATATCTAAAAGTAAATGTGCAAACCAGTACACTGAAAACTTCATGAGATTAATGATAGGTATCAGTCAAAATGTTAACTAGAAGAATATAGCACATTCATGAATTGGAAGTGTATTTTAATAATATAAATTTCCCCAAATTCATGTATAGCTTTTATGCCATCCTAATCAGGATCCAAGTTGGTGCCTGTGTGGGTACTTGTGTGTCTACATAGAAGTTGGCAAACTGTTTCCAAAGTATATATAGGAATGTAAAGAGCCAAGAGTAACAAAGACAATCTCAGAGGAGAAAGCTGGAGAACCTACATTACCAGGTATCAAGACTTATTATTAACTACTACAATTTACAAACTGTTTTATTGACAAGCCTAAAAAATATTTTAAAAGTGTTTAAATAGGGTCTAGAAACAGATACCATGCAAGGTCATATAATAATAAAGCAACGGCGCAATACATTAGGTAAGGAAGATAATTCTAAAAATGGTGCTGAATCAACTAGGCAGTCACATTAAAAATGAATCTTAACACCTCATATCATAAACAAAAGTCAACTGCAGATGGTCTATAGATCTAAATATAGAAGGAAAGCAACAAGGATTTTATTAGAAAGTATAGGCAACTATACTTCTGATCTTGGTTATCAAGGATTTCTTATGAAAGAAAAATAATAATAATATAAAAAAATGGTACCTTGGGTTACATTAAAATTTATTTGGTCAAAATACACTATTGAGAATGGAAAAAAGTCTGGGCATGGTGGCTCACAACTGTAATCCTAGCACTTTGGGAGGATCGCTTGAGTCCAGGAGTTCAAGAACAGCCTGGGCGACATAATGAGACCTCCATCTCTACAAAAACTTAAAAAATTAGCCAGGAGTGGTGGATCACACCTGTGGCCTGGCCACTTGAGAGGCTGAGGAGAGACCATCACTTGAGCCTAGGAGGTGGAGTCTACAGTGAGCCATGATTGCATCACTGCAATCCAGCCTAGGCAAGAGAGCAAGACCCTGTCTCCAAAAAAAAAAAAGGCAAAAATATTTAATATTTGCATATTAAAATCAATACATCTTCAATATTTATGTCAAATATTTATTTTTGTTGGATATATATTTGTTATATCCAGCAAAAACATAAATGAAATAAAGACAAACTCTTAAAAATCAATATGAAAAAGTAGAAAACAAAAGGGAAAAACACAGACTCTTCAAAAAAAATCCAAGTGACAAATTTATATATATGAAAAATGCTGAAATTCGTTAGTCATAGTTATTAAAGAGATGCAAAGTAAAACAGGTTGCAATACCACTGTATATCCACCATAATATTAAAATGAAAAACGAAACAAATTTCAAGTGTTAGCAGGTGTATAGTGTATAGAGAAATTTGACCTCTCATATGCTGCTGATGGAAGTGCAAACTAGTACTATTTATAAAATAGTTAGGCTGTAGTTCCATAGGTTAACCCACACATGCACTGCGATTCCATTATTACCATTCTACATATATATCTACAGAAATTTAAAAACTTATTTGTCAAAAGATATACAACATATATTCATAGTATTAATATTTATCATAAATTTGGAAAATAATTCTAATGTCCATCAATAAAACAATTAAGAAATAGTGGCATATTCAAGCAATGGACTGCTATATGGCAAGGAAAATGAACTATTAAATCTTTGTGCTACAACATGAATATATCTCACAAACAATGCTGAGAGAAAGAATCAAGACACACAAAAAGATGGCTGTAGAGTTTCATACATAGAAAAGAAGCAACAGCAGCAATAGTAACCTCTGATGTAAGAAGTCAGCATAAAGATTACTCTTTGGAATTGACAGTGACTCCAAAAGGGTCAGCGTAATGTGGAACACTTCTGGAATGCTGGTGAAGTTCTGTTTCTGCATCCGGTGGTGGTTCCACAAACGTGCTTTTCTCGTGTGAAAATTCGAGACTAACATTTAAATTTGGTGTACTTTTTCTCGAAGTATATCATAGTTCAGTAAACATTTATACCAAACAACTTAAAGATAAAATACAAGTTACAATTAATAAATATCCGTATTTGAAATCATATTATTTCAATAAATGTAATTTTATGCATTTATTTTTAAATTTTAATTAAATATTAATGTGTATTTTATAAGACAATGTTATTTGCAATTTAAATGTTCAATGGTCATTTCATTGTCAATGATTTTACCTGTCTTTCATGTTTTGTGTAGAGGACACATACACAATTTCAAGATAATTTCAACTGTTGAGAGTTGCAAAATGTTTCTTTTTTTGCTTTGTGTAACATTAGTGAATGTGTAACTCTAAACCATGAATTGCAGCCCCAAAAGAAAGAAGGTCTGTACTATTTAACTTGATATGCCATTGTGCAAAACCTATTGCTCTGGTCCTTTCTGAAGGAAAGATTTGTCAAGTTAATTAATGTGTCTTCTATTTTTCCTTTGCACTTCTGCTTCTCAGATCCTCCTTGTGCTCAAGAGCAAAGTCCATATCCAACAAAGGGAGCAGCCCAATCTATACATTTCATAATGAATGTGGTCACCTTTTTGGTTTAAAACATAGGCCAAGAGATGTGAAGAATGTTTTTCTGGAATCTGAAAGGTGTAGCAAAGTATCTGTCTAGTGCAATGGGTTGTCATATGGCAGCAGTGGGAGCTGTATTCCGCCAGCAGATGTGCCAGGGATGTACGTGTTGGAGTGTGTTCACACAGGCTCCCAAGAACTGTTAAATTTTCAAAAATTTTGCAAGCCAATTTTTAATATAGATACTACTAGAAATTGAACTTTATAAACTTATATTTGAATAAATTATATTAAAAGTAAAGGAATATTCAAAATTCATCAATTCCTAATTACTTTAATACAGTTTGCTGTTTTATATGCTCTTGAGATTATTTATCTCATCTCACCTGTGAGATGGGGCTACCATATAATGGTGTGCACTGTGCATGTCCTCCCACACTAGAAGCTTGAAATTAGCCATGTTGGGAGAATTTACATAAAAAAACAGGGCGAATACTATAGATCAGGGTTTCATTTACTGTTTTGTTGTCTAGACTTTAAAAAGTCATAGAGAAAATGTTAATAACGTGCATTAAGCCTAAAAATGTGTCTTGTCTGTAGCTATTACCTTGCTAGTAGAAAAAAAAATGAGAAAATATTATTCCATTATTCTAAACCTATTATCTAATTCGGCAAAGAAGTTGCTCACATCACTGATGAACAAGTGAAGTTCAAATACATGTCTGTGTTATTTCACTGTCTTATTAATGTAAATGAAAATATCAACCAACATTCATGCCAGGACTACACTTGTTAGTGAATACACTTGTAAGCTGGCTCCATATACAGGAGTTCAGCAAAAGTCAATGAAAGCATTCTATGAAAAGCAATCGGCTATACAGAATTTACAATAAATAATATTGAATATTTTATTATTATTTGTAACTTGTGTTACACAACCTTTATATCAATAAAATTTATGATAAACATATTAGTGTGTATATATACATATATACACATTTGAGTGTATATGTATCTATATAAACATATACATATATGCATTTTTGAGAGCCTGTTGAACGTTTACCACCATAACACTTAGAGACACCCAAGTGTTATCTAATAAATTAGATCTAATAATACTTTTTTTTTTATTGTCATGCAAAGGATCTTCCAAAGTCATCGCCAAGAGAAGGATCCCTTTTGACAGGATCTAGGATTGGTACCCATTATGAAGGTTCAGTAACTCTCCTAAGACCCATAATTAGTAAGTGGCCATAGGAGGCTCTAAAACCAGAAAGTCTTAACTCCAGAGGCTACTTTTTGACTCTGCAATCTTTCATGAGAGCACAGCATTCATCTCAGGAAAGCACAAATGTTTTAACATTAGAAAAGAAGAGCAAATAAGACTTTTTTAATTGTACATGCATTTATAATAATATAAACTCTTGAAAATAGAAAATAAATAACTTTATAGTGTTTAACTACTAAAACTTACAACAAGCCTCTCACTGATATTTAGTACTAATACTTAGAAGCATTTTATTTAACATTAGATGCAAAACAATACTTTTTAAAAAAATTGCACATGCATTTAAAATAATAAAAAATTCTTGAAAATAGACAAGAAATAACTTTATAGTGTTTAACTACTAAAACTTATAGCAAGCATCTCACTTATATTTAGTAGCATTTTATTTAATATTAGGTACAAAATAAGATTTACCACTCTCTCCCACAGTAATCAATATTTTGTTGGAATTAGCTAAGGCTTTATGAAAGCAAGTACAAATGAGTAGTTTAAAAATTTTATTGTAATAATAATTGTATTTGCTTTATGCACACGATATTATTGTCTACTAGAAAATCCAAAATACTAAGCCAATGGTAGAATCACTAAGGAGTTGGGCAAAGTTCTTAGTGAGGCAATATCAGATACTGGTAAATATTTCAGGCTGGATGCAGTGGCTCACGCCTGTAATCCCAGCACTTTGGGAGACCGAGGCAGGTGGAACATGAGGTCATGAGATCGAGACCATCCTGGCTAACATGGTGAAACCCCATTCTCTACTAAAAATACAAAAAATTAGCTGGGCGTGGTGGTGCCCACCTGTAGTCCCAGCTACTCGGGAGGCTGAGGCAGGAGAATTGCTTGAACCCAGGAGGTGGAGGTTGCAATGAGCCGCGATTGTGCCACTGCACTCCAGCCTGGGCAACAAAGCGAGATTCCGTCTCAAAAAAATTTTTTTTAAAAAGCAAAAATAAAATAAAATAAAATGGATTTCAAGCTCTGGAGACAAACTGCATGGATTCAAATAAAGCTTTACTCTTATATGACTTAGCACATGTTACTTAAGCTCTTTGTACCTCGATTTTCTTACTTGTGTAATGGAGATAATAACGGTCTCTTCCCATAAGAATATATAATAAGTTGATATATGGATGGAACTTTGACAACATCTGTCACATAGTAACCACCATGTAACTCGTCGATTGTTATTTTTATTACTAAATACCCACAATAATATTCAAAAGTGAAAATAAATAACACACCCATGGTTACAAGGATGTGTAAATTCATATCATAAAAATGTCTATTTTCTACAAGTTAGTCTACAAATTTCATGCAATTCAAATTCAAATCCCAAAAGTGATTTTCAAAGCTGACAACTGAACCACAAATCTCTATGGAAGAATAAAAAGAAATGCACAACCAAGACAAATTTAAAGCTACATCATTAGAAGGAGCACTTCATCCTGTCAATATCAGAACACTATATTAGTACCAATTGTATGATACTGGCACAGGAATAGACAAGCAAATAATGAACAAATCAGAGAGCCACGATTCATATCCTCATATATAAATATTCATATCTAGTAACAGTGCCTTTATAAATAATTAGGGAAATGCCACAATATCTATTCAATGGATTATGTTGGAACAATTGATTACATGATTACATGAGAAAAATAAGTAAATTTGTTCTCTATATGATATCATATAAAATAAATTTTATTTATGATAAAACTGAGTGACAACACTCAGAGATAGAACACTGTATCAGGTCAAACTCAATCCTACATTAGTGTCTGATAAAGGTCTATAAATGAAAATCCTTCTCCTGCTGCTAAAATATTCTCATTTTATGTTAAGGAGAGAAAGGTTGTGAGAGGTGATTAGGATATTACTTTATGATTCCATGCATATGTTTTTAAATTCATGACACTCTAGGAAAACTGTAAATCTACTTGTGAGCATTTGTAGTTACAGGTGAAATTCAGATAGATCCCCATTAGTGAACATCTGTTTTGTTTTTACAACTTTTTTCCCTTTCATCTGATAGATGAACCTCTATTTCATAAATAGGACTGACTCATTGTGTGGTTCTGATGTGTCTCCTACCACAAAATTAGGAGTGTGTCATGAAATTTCCCAAACTCATTGCTTTGGACATGGGCATATGACTCAGGGTGGATCAATTACTGTCCTTTCGAGACTTAGTCTGGAAGAGATATTGGAGAAGCAGAACTCCACTTGCCAGAATATGTGGATTTAACGCATTCTGAGACTGAGTCAGCAAGTTGCCATCTTCACCATAGAGAACCTGTGCAGAAAAGAAATCAACATAGAGAAAATCTAAGCCAAAGGAAAGGAGTAGGACAGATTTCTGATTATATAAAATGCACTTTAATAGATCATGACATAAGCCAGAAATATTCTTTTAATTTAGCTCTTTTCATGCTGAATTTAATTATTTCACTTAAAACTTACTGTTTTCACCATAAAAAATAATTTGGTGATTTAGACATTGAATTAGGACCACATAGTTATACAAGTATTATTGTAAAATTGATTACAAACAATAATGTGAAGCTAGAAGTAAATGATGTTTCATTCAGGATGAATTTATTAATACATGTGCTTACGGTTACTTCTTCAATAATCTTGTTTTTATTAGGCAAGATCAACTAGCTACTGCAACAAATGGACTCAAAATATGAAATAGCACATAATGGAAATGTATTTCTTGTTTACAAGAGTAAACAGATCAGAGAACAATTCTCCTCCAAATGGCCAACAGATACTCTGCCATCTTCACCCTATGCCATCCAAGACTTCCCTGACAGTCTTCTCCATTCCACTAGACAGGGAGCAAATAAAGCTTAAAGGACCATACATGGGAGTTTTTAATGAGTCAAGTCTAGAAATGATATATATCCACTGTGTTCATACTTCATTGGTTAGACCTCAGGAAATGTCCACACAAAAAAGCAAGAATAGCTAGGAAAAGTCTATTTCTAACATCAATAAGAGGAGAATCAGGATGTTGGTAAGCAGTAAGCAAGTTCTGCAAAAACAGTTATTGTAATAATAAATATTCATGTGTACCTGTTCCCTCAGGTAGTATACGCTCACCCCACGGTAGACAAAACTAAGTCCCATCTAGTTAGTATAATCAGCTCAACGTTCAGGATCTGTGGGTATTGAACACTTCTCTCCATCATGACTGGGAGTGGTTGTTGTGGTCCTGCAAAGCCTGATATAAAAACAATCAGTCTTATGTATGCTGTCAGTGGTAGAGCAGGGATAAGATAACTATAGTAGACAAGTAACATTTAAGAAAGGGAAAAAAGAACACAGAACACACACCTGATAATAATAACCATACAATCCTGCTGGGTAGGTCTTACAAAGCACCCCTAATGAGACACACATGATTTGCCCCTCTGTGGGGAAAGTTCCTTAATGAGACCCACATTCCTGGCTAAAAGTTACTTCCTTGTTTATTGTTCTCCATGACCTCAGGTTCTGCTCCCTGGGAAACACTTGCTTGTTCTTTACCCTTGGGAACTATCCATCTTATACTCGTTGTTTCTTTCTTATGAAAATGTAGGGGCCAGAGGATTGCTTTGAGTGTAATTTTCCTCCTAGCTCAGGATTTCTTTGAGAAAACAATTTCCTCAAAAACTTAATAGACTTTGGATGTATTTCTTTCAAGTCAATTTCATGTGCTAATAAGCCATTCATAAAGATCCTTCGTAGACAAAACTCTAGAGTCTAACTATTTTTTTCTCCTTTGCCCCTTTCAGGAGATCATTATTTCAAATTACCAGGGATAGTTATTAGAAAATAGGCTTAAGTAGGAATATCATACGCTGAATCTGGTGATTATTTTAAGGCTTATTCACATTATCTGAGAAATTTTAAGACCTCCGTCTTTTACATAAATCTCTCTTCAATTTGATTTCATAGTTTTTAAAATCTAGAAATAGGTGTTTCCAATCATATGTACCTACTAATTTTTCTCTATTCACTTCTATTTTTTTCTGTACATTGGTCATGTTTTCCTAAGATTTTGCTTTTCTTATAGCTCCCTGCTAAAAGAAAGAAAGAATATAACATAGCTTCTTTAAACAATAACAAACATACACAAAAAAATGACTAAAAGCGATAAATTTTGGCTGGGCTAATAAAAAAAGCATGGCAACTTATGTCAGGTGGAAGGATAGACAAATAGATACACTAGAGATTTAAATAAAATCATATTGTATAATAAACAAATTTTATGTCAACAGTTTTGAAAAGTTAAGTGAAACTGAATATATATTTTTTAAATATAAAACTGATTAAGAAAAAAATAAAGCCTCACTTGTACTATAATAACTATTAAATAAACTAGCATAGTAATTAAAAAAAGAAATCCAAAAATCACCAGGCCTAGATTTTTGTATAGGCCAATTCAAACAGACTTTCAAGGATAAGATATTTCAATACATAGGGCAATTTAGAGACTAGATAAGAGTGCATATACCTTACTTTGAAATTGATACAAAAAATAAACGTTTCTCGTTTATGAACATACCTATAATAATCCTAAAAACAGTATTAGAAAATCAAACCAAGAGTAGCATAAAGAAGTGCAACATGACCAAACTGAGTTTATTTTACAAACATGAATGTACAGTAATATATTAAAAGAAAAAATATAAAATCATCCCAATAAATGTAGAAAAGTTATTTGCTGAAATTTATACATAATAATATTGTTAACAAGTGAAAACTTAGTGCACTAGGAATAGAAAGGCACTTACACAGGCTGACAAAAGGGATGTTCAAATAATCACCTAAAGCAAACCTTATTTTTAATGAGAAACAGTTACTATCATTAACTTGGAAGTAATATAAAATACAAGTATGCTTGTTATCATCACTTTTATTCAAAATCTTACAGAGGTCTGCCACAAAAAAGGGGGAAAGAAAATCACTGGAAAAAAAAGAAACAAAATTCTAATTATTCGAAATTCATATAATTATCAGAATTGAAAACTAAAAAATAATCAGATAAGTTACTAGAAGTGGTAAGCATTCAGTAACAGGGCTTATCAAAAATTAAATGTATTTCAAGCACGAAGTAGCTAGGTAATTTATTTTAAATAGCATTATAAATAGCAATACACAGTGTGAAATGCTAAAAATAAACTTAACAAAAGAAGAAACAGCCATAATGCAGAAGATGTTAAGATAATATTGAAAGAGAGTTAAGAATCCCTAAATAAAGTCTTATTTATATTCATGGAAAACAAAGAGAAACACACTATCATGAAGATGTCAATTCTCTCCCAATAAATAGATAGAATATATGAAATTCTAATTCAAATTCTAGTATTTTCCCCCTCTGTAACTGGAAAATGTATTATTAACTTCATGTGAAAGAGCAAAATGCCAAAAACATAGCCAAGATACTCTTCTTGAACTCTTGGCTTCAAGTGATCCTCCTGCCTTGGCTTCCCAAAGTGTTGGGACTATAGTCTGAGCCACCATGTCCAGTCCTGATAGTCTTTTTTATTTTAAATTTTTAGTTCAGGAGTACATGTGCAGATTTGTTACATAGGTAAATTTCTGTCATGTGGCTTTATTGTACAGGTTATTTCATCACCCCAGTATTAAGCTTAGTGCCCATTAGTTATTTTTCCTGATCCTCTCCCTTCTCTCAACCTCTACCCTCTATAAGGCCCCGATGTGTGTCGTTCCCCTCTATATGCCCATGCGGTCTCATCATTTACCTCTCACTTATAAGTGCAAGCAGTATTTGGTTTTCTGATCCTGCATTAGTTTGCTAAGAATAATGGTCTCCAGCTCCATCCATGTCCCTGCAAAGGACATGATCTCATGTTTTTTATGGCTGCATAGTATTCCATGGTGTATATGTACCACATTTTCTTTATCTAGTCTGTCATTGATGGGAATTTAGTTGATTCCATGTCTCTGGTATTGTGAACAGTACTGCAATGCACACTTGGATGCATGCGTCTTTGTAATGGAATGATTAATATTCCTTTGCGTATATACGCAGTATTGGGTTCTGGGTTTGCTGGGTGAAATGCATTTCTATCTTTAGGCCTTTGAGGAATCACTGCACTGTCTTCCACAATGGTTGAAAGAATTTACACTCCCACCAACAGTGTATGAGCATTCCTTTTTCTCTACAACCTGGCCAGTATCTGTTATTTTTTGACTTCTTAATAATAGCCCTTCTGACTGGTGTGAGATGGTATCTCATTGTAGTTTTGATTCGCATTTCTCTAATGATCAGTGATGTTAAGCTTTCTCTCATGATTGTTGGTTGCATGTATGTCTTCTTTTGAAAAGTGTCTGTTCATGTCCTTTGCCCACTTTTTAATGGGGTTGTTTGTTTTTTCCTTGTAAATTTAAGTTCCTTATAGATTCTGGTTATTAGACCTTTGTCAGATGCATAGTTTGCAAAATTTTTCTCCCATTTTGTAGGCTGTCTGTTTACTCTGTCCCTAGTTTCTTTTGCTGTGCAGAAGCGCTTTAGTTTAATTAGATCTCATTTGTCAATTTTTGCTTTTGTTGCAATTGCTTTTGGCAACATTGTCATGAAATCTTTGCTCGTGTCTACGTACTAAATGGTATTGCCTAGGTTGTCTTCCAGGGTTTTTACAGTTTTGGGTTTTACATTTAAGTATTTAATCCATAAGATAGTCTTGAACAAACAAAATGTTAGAGATGGGGTTATGGTCTTTTAGCTATAAAGAGTTTTTATTTTAAAAAGTCATTATTAAGGAATATATTATTGATGAAAGATGACCAATGAAACAGAAAAGAACACAGAAGCATCTGTCCTTAATATATTATAAGAAAATGGCATTTTACATCAGTGGAAAATTTAGGTTCTATTTTACAAATAGTACTAAAAGAATTAATTTTCCCTATGATTTTAGGGATGTTTTCACAGTTGTTGAAATCACATATATATATAAACATATACATATAATCATGTATTAATGATTATAGTAATATACAGAAAATAAGAAATTAAAAGAAAAAAGGAAAGGAAATATCACTTATTAGCATAAACTTGAAATTAAAAACTAATGAAAACATCACAAGAAAGACTAATCAAAACTCATGATTAAATTTAGGTACAAAATTTAGGTACAAAATATAGACAAACTCAGGTCAATCAAAGTTTAAAAACAATAACAATAAAATAGCTATGCCAAAGTGGGGTTCATTTCAGGAGTGCAAGTATGTTTATTTATGTTTACAGATCAATTAATATAATTCATTACATCAGCATATTAATGAAAGGAAATCATATGGTCCTCTCAATAGAAATGGTGATAAAATTAAACATCCATCCATTACTTTAAAAAAATCTATTGGCAAATTAGAAAAATAAATTGACTTCCTAAACTTGATAAAAAGCATGCAAAAACAAACAACCGACAAATAAAAACATAATTAAGACATTTTCTCTAAGATCAAGGAGAAGACAAGGTAGCTGGTGATTGCCTTTCCTATTCTGAAGAATATAGGAGTACAAGCTATGGCGGTAGGCAAGAACAACACAGAATGCTTAAAAATGGAAAGAAAGAAAACAGGCTGTTATTCAAAAATAAGAAGATATACTATATCATAAATACAATTGAAACCACAGTTAAAATACTATAACTACACAAGATTTTATAAAGGTTGTAGAGTACAAACCAATATATAATGAATAGCATCAATAGAACAAAATGACTTCTTACAAATCAATAATTTTTTAAAAATAAGAAAATGAGCAAATTGTGTAAACAGACTATTTACAGAGAAAGAAATGTAAAGTGCCAGTATATGTGTGTGTGTATACATATATATACATATAAAAAATATATATATTTTTTAAATGCTCAAATTTACCAATCATCAAGGATATACAAATTAAATCAATAGAAATATTTTTCACATATTGACTGATAATACAACTAAGGTCATGTATTGGTAAGAATTTATAGAAATGTGCATTCTCATACATATTTGATGAAAATGTCCATTAGTAAAATCCATTTGAAGGATAGTTAGATGGTACATCATAAAATTAGAATGTCCCTAACTTTAGATAAAGCAATTCAAATTTCTGGAAATCTATCCAACATTAACATTTACACGGGAGAACACAGGCATATTCATTCATGCATGAATGCATGCATTCCTTACTAAGTGCCTCCATATACTAGAACCTATCCTAGGTTCTGCAGAATTAAAAGAGAATAAGACAGAGAAGGACTTACCCTAACATGCTGGAAAGATTACATACTAGAAGAATATGGGTGATAACAAATCAATAAAGAGCATAATAATTAATAGGATCATAAAAAATTAAAAGAAATAATGACTAAGAGTTTTCCTTTTCCGAGGCATTAATAAATGTATTGATGAGCAGGGGACACCATCATTCCTGAATAGATTGATGGCAGTTGTCTTGTGAGGGTATGCAACGGAGTAAGTTCGCTGTTCATAGTGGAAAAAATGAAGCCCCAGCAGAGGCCATGTGAGTAAAGCATATGGAATTAACACAAATGCCGAAGGACAATAGGTCATTACAGTATACTGACTTGCAGAAATTTGTGGCACCCTCCCTCTCCATCTCAGTCTATTCACGTGTACCGACTCCCTGCTGCCCAGACTATAATCTTCCTAAGAACAAGAGTCATGTCTGTCTCTCTTCTCTAAACCCAGTACTTGGCATACCTTAGTAATAAATAACTTCATGTATTTATATAATTATTAACTCATATAGGGTTTACTGTGTGTGCCAGCCATAATTCCTAATGTTTTAAAAATAAGAAATGAAAACTCATTCATTTGTGCCTCATAGCAACTTGATCAGGTTGCTTTATTTTTATCCCCCTTTCACAATTGAGGAAATGGAAGCAAAGGGAGGTAAAGTAACTTAATCAAGGTCCAATGTGGTAGAGACAGGACTGTACACCCAGGACATCTGGCTATAAAGAACCTGCTTTTAACCACTATTCTACGCTGATTAATAGATTGCTGCACTCACTTTATTGCAAACAGTTAAACTTCCTGGAACTACATCTACAGAAACCTTTCATTCTGGAAGAGAGCCTCTGCTTAATTTAAAGACTCATTCCAGAGTTTTCCCTCTCCATCAAGCGGTAGGGGGAGGCAGAGGCTTGCCTCCCATGGTACATTTACACTGCAACTTTTAGAGAAATTATTTGCTGATTCAAAATGGAAACGAACAAAGGCAGGCTAAAACCTCTTGACTTGAAGTTTTAAAAAATTATTGCTGTATTCATTTAGCCTAAGAAAGAACAACACAATGGTTAAATTTAAGTATATCCAAAGAAAATTCCAATTAAATTACATTGTGGGGATTTTAATGATCATCCCACTAAATTTTTTTAATATAACTTTCCTTACTAGCCAGTAAAATATTTTTCATTCAGAGGAGTTGAGTGATCTGTCTTATGAATAATAGTAAATACAGCTCACATTTATTTTAGAATGTCAGAAAACAGCTCAGTTGACAGCATTAATAGAGTGGAAAATCCATGATCGCAGGAGTTTCATGTCAAATATGACAACCTTCTAAATTACTTGTCAAAGTTGACCTGCACACAAGCTTAGATGAACTAAGTTAGGCAAGTTAACAGTGAGTATAAAAGTGAAATACATCTCAGAATTTCAATGATAGTGATCACTGAACAAACCTTGGGATTGAAAGAACTACCATTTGGTAAAGAAAACAGAGGAAAAGCTCATCTATTCCTGTAACTATTTAAGAATGAAAAACATATTTAGACCCAGTTCAGAGAAAAGAGACCTTTAAAACATATTTAATGTAACCATGCACATAAACACAATGAGGGTTTGTTTTGATTTATTGTCAGACAAAAGGAAGTATTTTCAATAGTGATGCCAATAAAAAAATCTGTGTGGTAGAAATCAAAAATGATACTTACAATTAAGAATATTAACTCATTTCCTAAATTCAAACAAATTTTTGAAATCTGGGACTAGTTTTATGAGATAATCCATCAAGGAATTATTGGCAGCAGCAGGTACTGGTATTCCTCATAGCTCTATAATAGCTAGCTGTGCTATACACCCACAAGGTCTATAGTTAGAGGGAAATAAAAAAGTAAAGTAAATAGCTGTCATTTATCGAGCAGAATCTAACAGCCATGACATACTGTATTAGCTATTTTAAAATATCATTTCATTTAATGCTCAGAAGAAACTCCAGTAGACAAATAGATTAGTGTGCATACTTCAGTATGCTAGTTCGGTATAATTTTCCAGCACTGGCAAGGAAATTTTACTTTATAAACAATTCTGGATCAGAAAACATATTGCCTACCTATTGCATACTTCCTATCAGTACCTCAATAAAGAGTCTAAAGTGCATTGATATTCAGTAAATGTTCTTAGTATATTAAAAACTTGTTTAGTATATTAAAATCCTTAAAGAAGGGTATCAATATTTTATATGTGGTCTTTTAGTCCTTCAGTTTCTCAATTCAAATAATAAAGAACAAGTTATAGCTTACATCCTTTTTCAAAGAGAATTAAGAGACAAAGCCAACGTAGTAGCACGTGGCTGTAATCCCCAATACTCAGGAGTCCGAAGCAGGAGGAATGCTTGGGTCCAGGAGTTTGAAGCTATAGTGCACTGTGATTCCACCTCTTAAGAGCCATTGCACTACAGCCTTTAACCCATCTCTTAAAAACCCACCTCTTAAAAAAAGAGAAAGGAAAGAGAATTAAGATATAAACAATGTATTTGTAGTTAAAAATACCTAGTTATATTTTTCTAGATGACTTTAACAAACATTTATATAGGTCCTATTATATAAATGCTGGTCACTATGCTTGGCACTAGAATCTACCTACATCAGGACTTCACATCTAGTACTGGCATGTGTGTCCATCCACGCGTGTATATTCTACAAAGCTAATACTCACCAAATAAAATAATATGTCTAATATATGTATGGTTGGGTAAACTTTAGTATATTAATTATTGCTCTTTTCCCTCTCCCAGATTGTTACCTTTTTTCTGCCTCTTCTTCAAGAAAGTAGTATGCCTCAAGCCTCATGTACTTGGAATAGGTATATAACTAAAAATAAATTAAAATTAGCTTGTCAGAATTCTGAACACTTGTTTTGTAAGTCCTATACCTACTGATAATAATAGTTTTTGTGGCAAGATAATAAGAGTCTTGGAAAAGCAAGAAGTAAGTTGAGGTTCCCCTTAAACTATTGTTTGGTGGGGCCCAGAGGTACAGATCCAAACAGTAATGGGACATTGCTTCAAGGCCTCAAAGAAGAATGTTCGTTGGCTGGTCACCAGGCACAGCAGAGATTTGACACCTCACACATGGCATGGGAACAGCTAAAAAGTGTTAGTTGAATAAACCACTGTAAGCACAGGCAGTGAGAATGTCAGTATGGACCATCACCAGTCATCAGAAACTCCTGTCCATTCCTTGCGCACAAAGTAGGCATCTCAGATTCTGAATGGACATTAGGTTGGGGAAGGAGAACCTACCACACTGGAGATATAATTTCCTGTAAATTTAGAAAGCCAGAGTATAATAGTAAAAATCAACTTTATTTAAAGGAAATAAAGTAATACTTTAAACACATCTTGGCTTGCAAACTGTAATTAATACCTGACTGGTTGTGAAATAGGAAAAGTATTTGTGAAGTACATTAAAAGAAAAATATAAGCAAGTGATAAATGTATCACAGGGAAAGTGACATCTGAGTAATGTTTGGAAGATGAGTGAAAGCTTCCTTAGCAGAGGAATTACACATGCAAAGTTAGAGATAACTCTAACACCATACTTTGACCTAGATATCATCAGAAATCCATTAGTGTAGCACTGGAATGTAAAAATTCACAAGCAACTGATCATAAGAGATGTGAAGCTGAGAGAAAAGCAAGATGTATTGAATCAGCAGGATAATATTTTTCAGTAGCAGTGGTTCTCAAAGTATGGTCAAAGGACTCCTAGAGATTCCAACACTTTTTCGGGGGATCCACAAGGTCAGAAGTATTTTTCTTATAATAATAAGGCATTATTTGCTTTTAACACTCTTCTTCTCACACAAGAATGCAGGGGAAGTTTCTAAAGGCTACATGACATACGACATGACAACAGACCGATGCAGAAGGAGATATACAAATCCATGAATCTCCTATTGAGGCAGATATTAAAGAGATTTGCAAAGATGTAAAACAATGCCACTTTTCTCATTTTTGTTTCAAAACTGACATTATTTTCCATAATATTTATGTTAATATGCAATAAAAATGTTTTGGAAATGTTTGTTTCAATTTCTAATACAGTAAACACTGTTAGATAGAAGCCAGAAAAACAAACTTTAAAAAAGTGTTTGGGGTTGGTCTCAACAACTTCTAATAATGTAATGTCAGACCAAAAAGTGTGAGGACCCATACTGAAACTTAAGAACTAAGTACAGAGGCTTCATATTTCTTAATGCTAAAATTAACTAGTATGATAAAAGGGAAAACATAAATAGTCATCCTGGTTATTATACTTGACTATTGAGTTGGTATGGGTAAAGGGTGCCAATACATTGACAGTTAAGACAGCTACGAAAGTAGATGATAAAGATGTAAAATGGAGCTGAAAAGTAGTATAAATAATATTCTTTTAAAAGTAATCAAGTTTTAATCAAATATGTCATTTCTATTAAAATAGGCTGTCATGGCTGTTTCCTCACTGCAATTATTATTGCTAAAGAAAGAGAAGACAATGACAAGAGGAGGAGGATGAGAAGGTAGAATAGGAGGAAAAAAAATTAAGCTTTTGCATGCTGATTAGTACTTTAAGTGAAAATATTCGGTTGATCATCATAAAGAATAAAGACTAAGAAGAAAACACTTGTTTTTAGTGTCCAAAATGAATATTCTCTAGGATAAATTAATTGAGCCAAAAATAGCCTGTTCCAAAAGTTAATGTTAGGAAATGCTACATGAGGGCAATAAATGTTTGAATATTTGATACCTGATATGGTTTGGCTCTATGTCCGCACTCAAATCTCATCTCCAGTTGTAATCCTCACGTGTTGAGGGAGGGACCTGGTAGTAGGTGATTGGATCATGGGGGTGGTTCCCCCTGTGCTGTTCTCTGCTGATATAAGTTCTCAGGAGATCCAGTGGTTTAAAAGTGTGGCACTTACTTCTTCACTCTTTCTCTCCTGCCACTATGTAATACATGCCTTGCTTCCCCTTTGCCTTTCACCATGACTGTAAGCTTCCTAAGGCCTCTCCAGTCATGTGGAACTATGAGTCAATTAACTTTTGCTTATAAATTACCCAGTCTCAGGTCATGTCTTCTTGGCAGTGTGAAAACAGACTAATACAAAACCAATACAAAATTAATATAGATGTTTAATTTTATTAAAAAATTGTCATTACTGAATATGACCACCCTTAGGTTAGCAATTTTATAAATATTTCTAACACTACTATTCTGAAGAGTGGGCATATTGGTTTATGGCTTAATAACTCAAGGACTATTTTGCTGACCCAGGTATCAAAGAATGAAACTAACAGTTAATTTGATTTGGAACAAATATGGTTATTTGTAATAATTTTACAACATAATAGACAACAAAAATTGCTCAGTCCAAACAAAAACTAGGATAGAGAATATACCATCTTGGTTAATGTTTTCATTGTTTTGTAGAAATGCTCATAAATAAGTCTATAAATTATATATATATAAATAAATATACTAAGACAACAATGCAATACCACCACCTCTCTGCCACACAGCTATTAGAATGGCCACAATCCAGAACACTAACAACACTAAATGCTGTTTACTGTGTGGAACAACAGACACTCTCATTAATTGCTGATGTGAATACAAAATGATACAACACTTTGAAAAACAGTTTGGTGGGTTCTTATAAAACTAAACACACTCTTACCACACAATCCAGAAGTCATGCTCCCTTGGTATTAATCCAAAAAAGTTTAAAACTTATGTCCACACAAAAACATACACAAAGGTGCTTATATTAGCTTTGTTCATAATTGCCAAAACTTATAAGCAACCAAGATGTCAGTCAGTAGGTGAATAGATGAGTAAATGGTGGCACATCCAGACAAAGTAATGCTACTCTGTGCTAAAAAGAAATGAGCTATTAAGCCATTAAAAAAAATGGAGGAAACATAAAAGCATTTACTAAGTAAAAGAAGCCAGTCTGAAAAGGCTATTACTCTTTAATCCTAATTGTTTGACTTTCGGGAAAATAGAAAAAGTATGGAGACAGTAAAAAGATCAGTAGCGGCCGGGCACGGTGGCTCACAATGCCTGTAATCCTAGCACTTTGGGAGGCCGAGGCGGGTGGATCACGAGGTCAGGAGTTCAAGACCAGCCTGACCAACATGGTGAAACCCTGTCTCTACAAAAAATACAAAAAAATTCACTGAGCGTGATTGTGCACGCCTGTAATCCCAGTTACTCAGGAGGCTGAGGCAGGAGAATCGCTTGAACCCGGGAGGTGGAAGTTGCAGTGAGCCGAGATCACACCACTGCACTCTAGCCTGGGCGACAGAGCGAGACTCTGTCTCAAAAAAATAAAAATAAATAAAATAAAAAATAAAAAAATAAAAAAAAATCAGTAGCTGCCAAAGGTTACTAGGGAAGGAAGATGAACAGGCAGAGTGCAGAGGATGTTTAGGGCAGTGAAACTACCCTGTATAATACTATAATGGTGGATATATGCCATTACAAATCTATCCAAACCCACAGAATGCACACCACCATGTATAAACCCTAATGTTAAC
Source organism: Homo sapiens (assembly GCF_000001405.40). NCBI lineage: Eukaryota > Metazoa > Chordata > Mammalia > Primates > Hominidae > Homo > Homo sapiens. The sequence continues at coordinate 133,108,491 of NC_000004.12, forward strand.
TATGGGCTACAGCTGATCATGATGTCACTGTAAGTTCATCAATCATTACAACTGTTGGACAATATTGATAATGGGGAGGCTACACATGTGTGGGAGCAGTAGGTAAACAGGAAATATCTTTACTTTCCACTCTGTTTTGCTGTAAACCTAAAACTGCTCAAAAAATTAAAGTCTATTAAAATAAATAAGTGTAAATAAAATCTCTGTATTTTCTACTCAGTTTTGCTGTAAACCTAAAACTGCTCAAAAAATTAAAGCCTATTAAAATAAATAAATAACTACAAAAAAAGAATTTATCTTGGTTTTTATTTACTAAGTTAGAAATTGTAGTAATTTCTTGTAAGATTTAAAAACAATAGGAGTAAACTCAATAACCTCAGTAATGTCATCTTCCTATTAAAAAGAAAATAACAAGAAGACTAAGAGGCAGGATGATAAACTTTTTTTTACTCATGATCAATGTTTTAAGAAAGGGGACTAAATTAGGCAAAAATTATCATATAATACTTTGTTGAAACAAACACCTTCTAAGAACCATATTTGATTAGGTTAAGTGAAAAAAACAAAATAGGATTTCCACTGTTGCAATGTTGCCAAAATTTGAGCCTAATTTCTTGATAAATATATCTAAAAGAGTAAAGCATTAAAGTCAGTATGGTGCTTTGATAACAATTAGATGAGAGTATGATGACACAGTGTTGGTTGTTGTTGTTTTAATTTAACATTTTTGTGTGTCAACAATGTGCTTCCATTTTGACAGTGTTTCACCCAGTACAAAATCTACAAAGAATCTTAAAGAGTATTTTCTTTAGATGTAGTTCACAGAATACAAATGAACATAATAAATATTGATGTTTCCTTTTCTGCAAGGTATTTTTACTTTTATAATATCTTTTATCTAATTTCTACTGTATTCATATTCTGTCAGATTAGCCTCACCTCATTAGAACACAATAATACATCCATGAAAGTAGAGATCAGAAATAATAAACAAGAACAAAAACAACCTAAAAACTCTCAATTGACTTAACATTTGTGAAGGACTATTTCACTGATAAATAAGTTTCCTGAGTATTGAAAAGCTTGCTACCATCACCACATAAATAGAGATAACCCAGTGATGAAATGGCTGGTATTCACATCAAAACCAAGAGTACATACTAGTTTTGAAAGAAAATTGGAAATATATAACGTTTTATACAATGCAAAATGACATTTTTACGAAGACATACAAGTGGTAGGAGTTTTAGTTTTTTTAACTGTGAAACATTATTCTACTTATATCATATTATAAATATTTAGTGTCATAGAAAAACTGTTAGAAACATTGCAAAATTTAGTTCTAAGAATTTTTTTTTCTTTTTCTGATATATACGCTAACTTTAAACAATGACTGGCAGTAGAGCAGAGACTACAAGTTGTTTACCAAAAAATAAATTCTCTTCCTTTCAATAATGGAAGTGCTATGTATATCCATGTCCAACTATACTGCATGTGTCCCTTGAGGTTAGATGTAGCCATTTAAATAAATTGTTTCAATAGTATGCATACAAAAGGATGTATCCTACTTCCAATCTGGGCTCTCAAGATCACTTTCTCTTTCACCTTCCTGTGAAATTAAGCAATTTAATATATTGTTAATATAAGTATTGTTATATTATTATATATAACGATATATTGTATATAGTTAGTATAAGTATTAACATATATACTTCAGACTTAGAAAAATAAAATACTATTTTGTCTTAACCATTATTGTTTTGGCCTCTTTGTCATAGCCACTAGCATTCCTGAATACTAATATAGCAAAGAAAGTGTCTCATCTTAGTCCCAGTGCACTTTCAAACTGGCTCAGGTAAAGATATGACATCATTCCTTAAAATATCACATGCTCATTCTCCACTGATTCTACAGCATCCCAACTGGGCTTAAAAACTAAAATTATCCCTCAGATATCAAGTCACATTATGTAAATAAACTATAACCAAAATAAGAAATAAAGAACCACTATTTTGCAAGCAATCAGGAAAAGTAATCAGGACTTTTCCAGCTACAAGGGGTCGGGATTCCAACTCCAATCAGTTTAAGCAACAAATTAAACGAACTCACTTTTCTTCTCTCTGTTTTTCTCTTTTCTGTCTATATTAGACAATGTTGATTGTCCAGCTAAATCCAGTCCTAACCTCATTCTTTATTGCTGACTGAGTTGTTCAAGTGTTCACACTTCCCTAGTAAAATCATCAAAAAGGAAGGAAAACTCTATCACTTAAAAACAAATCAAGGTAATTACATTACCCTAACCATGATTGGTTTACAGCTTGTAAGAAGAAATTCTGGCAAATGAGACATGGAATGTAAAAGTCTTCTGAGTGGTGGAACTTCTTTGGATATTATTTTTCTCTTAAAAAGAGACAGATGACCTGTAGATATCACAAAATGATAGTTTATTATGAACAAAAAATTCCAAGATATTCAAAATTTTGCCAAAAGTGGACAAATCTTTAAACAATTACACATGAACAAAACTATTTCAAAACATGCAAAACCTAAAGTTCCTATACCATTAACATTCATCTATATCTGATTTAAGTAATAATAACAATCAATTAATGAAATAATTGTATTAAAATTAAAAAATCCTCTTGGAAAGAAAGCAGCAGGCTTGAATGTCTTTGCTAGAGATTTTTATTAAAATCTCAAAAACAATTTAAATATATATAAATCATTTAAGAGAACTGAAAAAGAGGATATGCACCTTCTATACCACAACCTGACAAGGACAAAACCAAAAAGAAAAGTTATAGTTTTATCTCACCTATGAATACATGTAAGAAAATACTTAGCAGTTTTTGTAATTTACTAATATTTATAATTTTATAAGCATTAATACATTTGACGAATTACATAAAAAGGATAATATATCATGTCTAAGTTGGATTTATACCAATAAAGAAAAGTTGTCTCAATATTGGTAAATCTATATTTGTATTCTGCCATCTTAAGATATTTTAAAAATCACATGGAATTCTCAATACAGACAGACAAAACATTGTAGTACTCATTATAAAAATGTAAGCAGACTCTAATGGAGAAATTCCTTAGACTTAGAAGATCTAAAGAGCTTTACAAAAATATATTTAATTTTGAAAGTTTTCCTTTTGAGATTGGTGACAAGATTGGGAACCAGAAAATATGGATTTCAATGAACACTGTGCTGGAATCTGCCATCAGTGTAGTAAGGCAAGAGGAGAAAATAAAAATTTATACAAATTTTAAGAAAAATAATAAGACTATATTTCAATAAAATACCCAGTAAGGAATAGTTAAATTATTTGAATTAGCAAGAATTTAGCAATGCTGTAGCACACGTACCAATAATAAATCAATGAAAATCATTTTGCATGTTATTAATAAAATATTATCAAGTTCTCAGTAATGAATACATAAATGATGTGCAAGATTAAAAAAAAATTATTGATGAATTTTAAAGAATTAAATAAATCCAGATACATAGTATTACATGGATTGGAAAAATCAGTACTGCAGAGATCTGAATCTCCTCCTAATTTGTAGACTAATTTAATGTAATCATAAACCAAACTTTTAGTAGGGTGTATGTGTGGAATTTGACCAGTTAATTCAAATATTTATGTGGAAATCAATGGTCAAGATCTTTTAAAATAATCACAGGATTGAAGCAAATACTCTATAAGATATTTAGGCTTGCTATAAAGCCACAATAATTAGGACAGTTTGGTACTGACACAAAGGCAGACAATGGAACAAGGAAACAGAATGGAGAGCTTGAACCCAGACCCATGCATTATAGATATTTTACTTATGAGAAAGAAGCAATGTAGATTTGTCAGAAAAGAATTGTATGGAAATATCAGACTTCTCAAGAAATGGGATAATTAGGTATCTACATGAAAAAAATTAAACAGGACCAAACCAATCACACTAGGCAAAAATAACACCAGGTAGATTATAGACGTATATGTCAAAAAATAATTAAAAAGCAAAAGCAAGCAAATAAAAAACTCTGCGAAGGCTTAAGAGAATAACATAGTAAAACAGGATAGTATCTTTATAATCTTGGGGAAAAAAATAAACAAAACACCAAAAGTACTTTAAAGTGAGTAAGTTTCTTTTTTTCTTTAAACTGTTCATCAAAAAAAGATGAAGAAAGTAAAAGGATGTCACAGCACAGAAAAAGATAATTGCAACACATAACACTGACAAAGGATTTAAAAGTGGAATATGAAAGGAACTCAAAAAAAATCAATCAAAAAACCACAGCAAACAATGTTTTTAAATGGTCAAAAGACTTGAAGAGAAACTACAAAAAGAGAAAATTTAAATACCCTATAAACCCAAATGGTGTTCAAGGTTATTAGTAAGCAAGGAATTCCAAATTAAAATCACAATACCACTAAACAGCCACCAGTTTGCAACAATCATAAAGCCTGAAAACATCAGTTGATTCTTACTGTATGTAGCACCCAGAATCATTAAAACTGCAGACAAAAGCATATATTGCTGTAATAACTTTTGAATGCATACATTCGAGTCACCACTTCCGCTTCATACATACAGTAATGTTTGTGCATGTATTATAGAAAATATATAGGATTGATCATAGCAGCACTATTATACCTCCCACCAAACAACCAAATACACAATCAAATGGATTAATAAATTGTTGTATAAGCATATAATGGAATACTATGCAGCATAAAGGGGAAAATCAAAAGCTACAACCAACAACATGGGTGAATTTTATATAAACATGTTATTCAGTGAAGATAACACCATAGGATACTGCATACCACAAAATTTGGTTATATAAAGTTCAAAACAGGGCAAAACTAAACTATATTAGTTAGGGTTATATACACAGATTTCAAGATTCTAAAGGAAGGAAATTCTTCCCACTTTCTGGGGGAATTCAAAAAATCAGAAACCAGATAAATGCAGGTAACTGTCTCGCTTTCAGAAAAAAAAGTCAGGGCATTGCTGCCTCCTTGATCCTAGCTACTTAAAGTACCTAATGTTATGTATGGGAGCATTATCTATGATAATTAATTTATTTATAGTTTGTGGCATAATTTTTACCATGTGCTGTAATAAAAAAATCTATCTGAAACAAATACCAAGACATTCATGAGTGCATGCTATATTTTTCCACCCACATAAAAATTACCACAAAGCTTCTTACATTCATTATTCTCAAGTAAATCAAAATGATAATTGGTATTTGAAATGAACTAAATGACTAGATACTTCACAGATAGAGTCATTATCATCTCAAAACCTTTTAAGGATTACTATCAATGATTTAAATTTGATGGTTTTGCTAACGCTGAAATGAAAAGATTATGACTTTTCAAAGAAATGTCATATGGTGTGATATAGAAAAGAACAGCAACAGCAAATGAATCATGTCTATTGGTAACCTCAAGGAGATCTGAGTTGCTGGATAACATAATATTTAAAATTTAAAAATCTTTTTTTTTAAATTAAAAGTATGTGCAAAGATCATGGCTACCTGGAATTCAAGAAAGAGTTCTGTTGGTCAAACATCTTAATTTGAGCATCACTTAAGCATAGTATTCACTAGAACAATTATAGCATTATTACATTCTTTACTTCTGCACCCTCCATATTAACTATCCAAATGGCTCCTTAGAGCAATACAAGCTGTGGATTGTACTGTTAAGATGGAAACTTTGTGACGTTAAGCTGCTATCACAGGTAACATACTTTCTTCTGTGACGGCAATAGGATTGATTATATTAAAAGAGGCCTTGCATTCTTCTTTCTGCACTTCCCATAAATCTTTAGGACTATAAGCATGTAGGCAGACACAAAAGCAAAGCAAGGTGTGTGTTGTTTACAGTTGTAATACAACTGATTTCTCTTGTGCCTCTAACTCTCATCACCAAAAACCAAAGCCCAAAGCTTAGTCTTGGAATTTTTATATTTCAAATCTTTCCTTTCCTTATCCCCACATTTGTCAGTCACAGTCTGGCAAGGCTAACTTCGTGCGTATTTCACCACTGGGAACTTTATATTCAGTGGCGTATGGACTGGATGTTGATTTTGAATCTCAAAAAATTTGTTATTTAAAAATAAAAGAAAAATTACCTTGGAAATAACCTTGTAAAGGCACTTCAAATCTTTCTTTTAGCTGAAAAAAAAAAACCTAAAAAGCCAAAAACAGAACGTAATATTCTTTTCTTGTCTGGTTTCAGTCAGACCTTATAAAAAGGAAATAGAGAAAGAAAAATTGCTAAAACTGAAGCTTTTTTGTCAGCTAAGAAAATACAAAGTCTCTAGAGGTTTCTCTTTTCCATTTCCTTGGTTTCTTCTGTCAAATTTTATAATAAAATCAAACACAAATGTGAAAAAGAACATATATTTTGTTTCTTCTAAAGAAATACCTAAACTTTATGTGGTGCTTTGAGAATTATTTAGCCCATATAATTTCTTTGATATTAAGAAAAATATACTAAAGTCCTGTTATGAGATGAGATGGTTTGTAATAGCACAGAATTTGAGTTAATATGATTTTAGATTTTGTTCAAGGGAGCTTAGTAACCAAAAGGATTCCACCAATCACCAGGAATAAAAGCTTTGATACCAAGAACAAAAGAATAGAGAGGCTGTTTTGCACTATTTTCTTTTCTGTTATTCAATAAAATTACATTTTCTATTTGTACTCCTTCATTTGCCTATATTTTCCCATAGTGTCTCCATTTTTAAAAAACACTTTTCACTTTCTTGCCTCTTTAGTTCACACAGGAAACATTTTAAAAATTCTTAAAAAACATAGATTAGGGTTAAGAAAGGGTTCATGTATTTTTCATTTTTCTACTTTTCTATAAGAAAACTAAAATACTTTTTTGAAAGCACTACTTCGGTATAAAATTGTTTTTTCTTTTCTTATATAATACATAGTTTGTTCGTAAACTCCATAATATGAGAGCTCATTCTAAAACTGACCTTTAATTTTAGCATTCTGTTGGTAATCTTCTGCTTGCAAAAATGAACATCTTCCTTTTCAATTGTATGTATTTTAATATACTCTATAGCCACATTTTTTCCTCTGGAGCTTAACAGTGCAATCAGGCTTGTCGTGAAGAGTGCCATTAGCCTGAGAATGGCAGAATGGACACATGATACAAAATTAGGACACTCCAGTGCATTTCACCTGTGGGTAAAATTGTTGCTGAATATTTTTTGAGTAAATAATGGTATATATATTCTTTAGTGAAAGACTGTTTTACACTAACACTGTATTATCATTCACTTGTAGGTATTTCCCTCCTAGAAACTTATTTCTTTTGCTATATCTTCAACTGCAATAAATAGTCTACCGATACTCAATTTCCTTAAGGATATACTACAATTAAGGCACAAACATTAAACTAATCAGGAACAGATCACACCCCAAAGAATAACATGAAAAACAGATTTTGGAACCATACAATGCATTTTACATGTTTGGACAAATCATTTTGTGTATTTTCAAAAGAAATATTTTATTCATTTAAGGCATTTAATTATGGACATATGAAAGAGAAATGGATATTTATTATATGGAAAGGATGTATGTAAAAGAAAGATTTATTGATGTAACAAGATAATTTCTTTTCCTAAAATTATAGAGCATAATGTATAATTTTATATCTATTCTCAATAGCTGAAGTTAGGTGCTCAAAATGTTTTCAGAATTATTAAATAAAGATGTATGTTACGAGATTACTATGCGTTGACAATATAGTGACTGCAATAAAATTATACTACTAAGCTATTAACCTTGAGGAATCTGTCATGAACTTGCACCCCACAAAGGAGAGGAATCTGAGCACTCACCCATCATAGATGACTTTAAGACTTCTTAAGGGCCGGGCGCCGTGGCTCATGCCTGTAATCCCAGCACTTTGGGAGGCCGAGGCGGGCGGATCACAAGGTCAGGAGATCAAGACCATCCTGGCTAACACGGTGAAACCCCTTCTCTACCAAAAATACAAAAAAATTAGCCGGGCGTGGTGGCGGGCGCCTGTAGTCCCAGCTACTCAGGAGGCTGAGGCAGGAGAACGGTGTGAACCCGGAAGGCGGAGCTTGCAGTGAGCTGAGATCACACCACTGCACTCCAGCCTGGGCGACAGAGCGAGACTCCATCTCAACAACAACAAAACAAAACAAAACAAAACAAAACAAAAAAACATTAAGCCACCTTCCGTGAGTTCTTAGAGCAATTCCTCAGGATCCCATCAGGGGAATAAAGCCATAATTCAATTAAAATTCATGACTTTATGCCATTTAGGACTACACACAAAGAAATTTTAGAGTTTTGTGAATACAAAGGCAGAACATGAAATTGATATTTGAATTATGACAGATATACACATATACCCACTATGCACATGCATATATATATAGGTGTGTATCATGTTTATAATGCTAATAAATGTTTTACAGTATTGGGAAAGTAAAATTTAAAAGATAGCCACATGTGTATATCATTGTAAATATGTCTTCCAATGACCATATGGAATATTAGTGTAAAGAGAAAAACAAATGGTTCATTTGAATATCAACATCAACAAATTTCTGAAGAAAACCAAAATAAAGTATTAATTAAATATTACATTTTCAAAAGTTTTTAAAAGGTTCAAGATGTCATCTTCATCTGGATCTCATTACTCAGAAAACTCAGTTCTATTCAGAAAATACTAAGAGTCCAGGGTTCTAATTGCCATTTACCATTATTTCACTTTGTCACTTAAAACAAATCAATTACCCTATCTAAATCTTAGGTACCTCCTTTTTAAAAATCACAAAATGGATTAGATGATTTCTATAGATGTCTCTAGCTTTAATAGTCTATGATTCCGATGACATTCTGGCTTGAGACCAAAAAAACTTTAGAGCAAGATAAAAGGCTACCACTTAATAACGCTATGACCTTTATTAATATTTCCACAAAGCTAAGAGTAGCAAAAAGCTTGAAGGCAGTAGAATGACTAGCTTACACTTACCCCAGAGAGCTGCATGGTTCATTTCCTCATTTTATTCAGGCCTCTGATAAAATATGTCTTTATCTAAAAGGCCTTTCCTGAACACCCCATCTAACCACCCACCCATCATTCTTTACACATTACAAGATTTTATTTTTCTTTCTAGTACTCTTTGCCAAAAGATTTTACATTTTAAACATTTTGGATGTTTATAAGCCCCACTGATATAAACTCCATGACAGCTGTTTTGTTTTGCTTTGTTTTGTTTTTAATTCACAGTTGTGCTTCCAATAGACTGGTGCCTAGCATATAGAAGGTGCTCAGTGAAGTTTGTTGATTGAATGACTGATGCTTTCAACAATAAGTAGATGCATACGACTGGATCACAGAGGCATGTTAACACTGTGTAGAAGAAAAAGAGGCTGAAAAAATAAGCTAGAACATGGTTAAAAATAAGTTGGAAGGGGTGTCTTAACATTCCACGCAGGGTTGTCCAATAGAGCCTTTAATGATGAGAGAAATATTCTAGAATGGTGCTGTTCAATTCAGTAATCTCTAGCCACATGTGACTTTTGAGTATTTGAAACTAGGCTACTGTGATGGAGGAACTCAATTTCTTTTATTTACTTTTAATTGTTTATATTTAAATTTAAATAGCTGCATATGGCTAGTGGCTGCTGTATTGAACCGTGCAGTTCCTAAGGAATTTGAAACTACTCCAAAAGCAATGAGAAGACACGGAAGGTTCTGTAGCAGAAAAAAGTGTGATAAGACTATATTTTTGAAAAATGATACTTTTGAAAGTAATGTTTAGAATGAATTAGAATGGAGATAAATTGGAAAGCAAAATGGCTAAATAGAAACTTGCAAAAATTTGATATGAGGAACTGAGGACCTGAATTAGGGCAGTGACAGAATGAATGGAAGGGATGGAAGTGATAGGGAAACATCAAAGTGGCAAAATCAATAGGACTTTTTTTTTTTAACTATGATCCTATATTTGCTGCTACAGAAGATTAGATAGGTAACAATCCCACCTACCAAAAAGAACTCAGGTAGTAGAGCAAAACCATACTAAGTGTAATGTCAAGAGAAATTCACTGACTCAAAATTCAGCTAATTTTAAATAATTTTAAAATCCAGACACATAAATCACAATTACAAGTCAAAAAAAAGAAGCATTAATTTAAGAAAAAGAAAAAGCTTTCTTTGCATTCCAAGTTGGTCGAAAATCAAGTCTAAGTAATGTTTGTAACCAATTCAAAATTGGCATTGAAATGGGGATTGTTTCTAAGGCCAAACATCATATATATACACACATACACACACACACACACACACACTACACACACACACACACACATATATATGTACATGTATGTGTGTATATATATGTATATATATATGGGGTGATGTTTGTGTATGGGTATGTATATATAAATATTATGTATGTATGTGTATAAATACAAACAATTTGAAAAACAACTGAAGATGTTATCAAATAAGTCTACCCTGTTTCTCATTCTTATAGAAAGCCACCTGGGACAAGCAGGCACATGCTCCTCTTTTAAAGAGGGGAATACATTTTTATTTTAAGTTTACTTTTAAACAGTGAAATCCTTTCTATCACAACACAAGGAAGACTTCTCCCATATTGGCAACTGTTTTTATATGGTTGGCATGTTTCAATGAGTCTGAACATGAATAAAATCCAACTACATCACTGGATGAAAAAAAAGCTCATGGCCTTCCGCTTTTAAAGATGAAACAGAAAATAAGTGTCAAATACAAGAAAGCCAAAGGGTGATTTAAAATTTCATCAACAAAGAAGCCTTGACCCTTATTTGCACTATTAAAATCTTAATATAACAAAGTCATATAGTGGGACCGTTAGGATTTAAAAGCAAATAAAATTCCTTGGCAGACTAAGGATTTTTGCCATCTGTATCTTAAAGCAGGAGGAAACATATTCTGTGTTCAGGCTCTGTAATAAGCATATTAAAGTCAAAGGTGCAGCTAAATATCTCAAGCTAAGTAAAACTGAAAAGAAATGCCTGCAGGACTCATGTTCTGAATAAAAAAACTGTCGATATTTTGAGAAATTCCACTCTCTATGAACTTCCACTAATGATTACAACAGCAGGAGATGGAGCCAAGGAGGCTCCAAGTAAATTGAAAAGCATGATTTTAAGAGAATCCCCCAACACCCAGTAGAATGATAAAGATTTACTCTGACTTCAATCTATACCAACTAGTAGGACATATATTTGTACAATAAATGTATGTCCTGAAAGCATGACAGGGTATAACTCAATGGAGAAACTGACACATAAAAGCTACCCTCTCTATTGCTCTCCTAAAAAAGATGTGATTATAATTAAAAACAAAAGAATTTTTTTAAAGAAGTGTATTTATACTAGGATTTCAAATCTAGGAACTCCTGAAATGTTTCAGAATGAGAAATAATACTAAGAAGAAACCATAGGTAGAAACATGTGTAAAAGATGGCTTACTACTTGGTGATTAACCTTAGTCTGACATGTTAGATGTTATTTCAAATACCAAAATTTTCACTACAATTTATTATTATACATATACTATAAATTTAAAGAATTAATTACATGATAAATTGTCCATGGTCCTATGCTAGAAGGCAAAGGGGATTAGAAAAATTACACAACTACACAACTGTGAGCATTTTTATCCAAAAGTGCTATATTAGTCTAGACACTGCATTTTTAAATATTGTTTTTCTTAAAAATCTTACCTGCTCATTATAATATTTCATCTCTTCTTGCAAATAGGGTCAAAATATCAGTATGCCCACTTTTTCTTCTTCCCTAGCCCATCCATAACCTCAGAGATAACTATGTATCTTCATCATTAGTCTGGAGCTAGTAGAAGAGTTTGGAATCACTGAATCTGCTCTCAAAAAGTAACTTCTGAGACAGAAGGTTATAAATTGCCCATTACAAATATATAAATCTGATTTTAAGATTTTAAAGCACTGGCATTTATATATTCTAAAACCATATAAGCTAAACTAGAATTTTTTAAAAAAGCAACCATAGTCAAATGGTATTGTAGACAAACAGTAAATAAACTTCTTGAATTGAATAATTTTTCTTTTTCTTGCCCATACTGCCCTTTTTCACTCATCTAGTACATGTGCTAAAGAGCAAACAAGAGGCCGGACATGGTGGCTCACACCTGCAATCCCAGCACTTTGGGAGGCCGAAGGGGGCAGATCACCTGAGGTCAGGAGTTAGAGACCAGCCTGACCAATATGGCGAAACCCCGTTTCTACTAAAAATGCAAAAATTAGCTGGATGTGGTGGTACATGCCTGTAATCCCAGCTACTTGGGAGGCTAAGGCATGAGAATTGCTTCAACTTGGGAGGCGGAGGTTGCAGTGAGCCGAGATTGTACCACGGCACTCCAGCCTGGACGACAGAGCAAGACTCTGCCTCAAAAAAGAAAAAAAGAAAAAAAAATGCAAACAAGAAAAAAATAAAATCCACTTGCTTAAGCAAGTTTTATCTGACAGAGGCTCCCTATACCTCACCCCAAAATTCCCAAAGAGAAAGAAAACACATTACATTTAACTAACATATAAACCAAAAGGATCATAAAAGTGAGTAAGTCTACATGAATCTGGATAAAGAAAGAATGCTTGTAGGGAGAAATCTGGACATAGTTTAAATGACATGGCTCTTTTATTTCTTAAAATTGGTGATATAATTTAAAATAAGTGAATCTGTCACTCCAAAGTTTAAAACTTTAAGGGAAGAACTGAAAAAAAGTCAGACTTGAGTTCGTATTTCAGCACTTAACTTCCTAGCTTGCCCTTGATTATGTAATTTAATGAATCTGAGAGTCTTCAATAAAATTATCATAGTTATATGTATTTATAGCTTTCACTAGATAATTCATTGAAGTGTCATATATAAAATATTTGATAAACAGTAAACTTTTTCATGTAGTCAAATACCTAAGTAATATAAAGTATCATCAACTCTGAAATCAGTTGGGGAGATTCTTTAACCAAAGCACTATCAGAGCAAACCGATTTCAAAGGAAACCCTCTTTTATTCATACTTACTGGATAGCTAAGGCCCACCATAACAAATCTGCTAAGAAGATGAAAATGAGCAAATTAAGACTGGCTTCCAAGTTAAGTTGGAAAAATCATGTACAAGAATTATACAACACATCTTAAAGTGACAGAATTGCTCCCACTAAGCAAGATTTGATTACAACCTAAATATATTACCATCTCTGGAAAAAGAATATGTCAATCAGCAAAGGGTTTAGCTGGTGATAGATGCACAGAAAAAGAAAAATTAAAATTAGAAGCATTGGTAAGATAGGGTAAAAAAAGCTTTTTTTTAAGTACCAAAAGTACTAACCATAAATAAAAAATGAATAAAATTGACTACATTATAAAAAGAACTTCTGCTCATGAAAACACACAATAAAAAGAGAGCAAAGACAACTACTATATGAAAGAAAGCATTTATAGTATGTGTGATTAATAAATGGACTCCTATCCAGAATCATACCATAAGAAGAAAGACAAATAATAAGAAAAGACAGTCAAATTGAAAAAATGGGAAAAACAGTTGAACCAGCAAAAAGTTTATGAAAGTACAAATCCAATAACCTATGAAGATATATTGTCAATTTTATTGGTAATTAGAGAGATTTAAATTAAAACTACCATAAGCCTGGCAAGGTAGCACACATCTGTAATCCCAGCTACTTGGGAGTTCAAGACCAGCCTGAGTAACAGAGCAAAATACTTTCTCAAAAAAAGAGAAAGAAATTAAAACCACCATGGAATATAACTGCACATGTATGAAATTATAAGAAAACTAAAATTTCAGCCAATACTGTGTGCTATTAAATATGTGAGAACATTGGGAATTCACATAAGCTGCTAACGAAAGGTATATTGCCATAACTGCTTTGTAAACCTGTCATCTACTGAGCATACATCTCATATAAAACTGTGCACAGTTATACCAGAATAAACAAAAAATGATTATAATATGTGTTTGTGATAGCCAAAAATAGAATGTGATAAACTTTTGCAACAAATGTAAAACATATAGCTAGGTTGTAAAGAAAATAAATTTACTACAGCTACTCTCGATATATATAGTTCTTATAAATATCATATTAATTAAAAGAAGCATAACACAAAGTAAAACATAAAGTTTCATCTGTATAAAATTGAAAAATACATAAAACTGTCTTATTTTACAGTATGAGTAGTAAGATTTTAAAGAAAAGCAAGAAAGTAATTCCCATAAAGTCATAATAATCCAATGAACAGGAATGAGGTGATCCTTAAAGGAAACAGTATATTTTAGAGTTCTGGGAATGTTCTATGCCTTGATATGGGTAGTAGCTACACAGGTGATCACGTCATAATTTTTAATTATATCATACATTAGTAATATATATTTTTCTGTATATTTATTATATTTCACAATTCAAAAACATGTTTTAAAAAATTTGGTCATGCTCATTTTAGTGAGCTGAATAGTGGCCCTCAACAGATATGTCCACCTGTAACTTCAGAATGCAATTTTATTTAGAAGAAGAGTTTCTGAAGATGTAATTAAGATAAGGATCTCTAGACAAGATCATCCTGGGTGATCCTAAATCACCCAGGGGTCCCAGTGGGTCCTAAATCCAATGACAATCTTTCTTATAAGAGGTAGAAAAGGCAACACACCCAGACACAGGGAAAAACGCCACGTGAAGGCGAAGGTAGAGATTAGAGTGATGCTGCCAAAAGGCAGGCGAATCCTTAAGCTACCAGAAGCTGGAAGAGGCAAGCAACAATTCTTCCCTGAAAGCTCTGGAGGAAACTAACACCTTGATTTTGGAGTTCTCGTCTTTACAACTGTGAGAAAATAAATTTCCATTTTTTTTTAAGCCACCAAGTTTGTAATTAATTTTTAAAAGAAGCCCCAGGAATCAAATACATGCATCCAAGCAGACAATATTATATAGTGAGTTATTTAGATTTTTTACTGTTGAGTTGGTCTTGAGTACAACTCTGATTCAACCACTTACAAGGTTTTTAATCTCAATCTCAATCTCAGTTTTCTCATTTGTAAAAGGAGAATAATCTTATCCACCTCAAAATGTTGGGAAAAAAGGTAAATAAAAACATTAAAAGACTTCAATGCACTAGCACATATTAAGGGCCTAAATAATTACACACATCTATACCTTCTCCCCACAATGAGCCATAAAGAATGGATTATTCTCCCTCTATGGCTAAAAAGAACTATGACTTGAGGGTTATGGAACGAGCCAACTCCTAGTAAGAACATCATATTAGGAGTTGAACGCATTGGAATATTTTAGCTAACCTTGTATTAATAATATGCTGAATCAAATTAATATGCTGTAGTCTTATTTCAGACCACCAAGCCCTAGCTGGGGCTTACCTACACAAAGTAAGGATATTTCTCTACCACACAGGTCTTTATCATTCTCATCTCTGTTAGTTATTGATAATTTATTTAAATACATACTACTGGTGTATATCAGTCTTTCACTGCTGGTCAATGTCTAACAGTAACACTGCTCAAAAGATCCTCTGAATTAATGAAAGAATCAGGAAAAAAAACTGATGGTAGAATCAATAATCAAAGACAAAATTACATCTAAGACTCCAGGCAAGAAAGCAATTGAGAAAGAGGGGAAGATATCAGTTTGACTCAGGAGACACAGAGATGGACATCAAATATGGTCACATCAGAAAAAACAGCCAAGTCCAGTTCCAAGTTGAAGTTGTGTATAGCCTAGCAGAATGTGAGAAGCTCTCCACCCTATTTGGTGATGGGCCAAGGATATAACTCAACTGCACATCAGTTGCCCCTCTGACAAGGAGGAATAAAAGTCCTCAAAGGAAGTCTCTGAAAAGGAAGACAAGGACAAAAACAAACAAAAAAAAGGTCCTAAGGAAGATGTTGTCCAGAAACCCAAGCCAAAATTATACACACTCCGCTGGAAGAGACTTCCATGAATTTCTTGTAAGTACACTGAAAAAGAACCCAAAGAACAAAATGATGCTACTAATATGAAAGTAGGAGATTCTGAAATTTATTAAAACAATAACTAGTTAAGAGGTTCCCTCAGATGACTTCATATCACTGGAGGCAATTACACTGGATAGCTGCCTATTTGGGGATGGACCACAATGTTGCTCAAACTTGAAAATCTGTCATCATCAACAAAACCAGTAACATAAGACTGCCTGAACAGAGTTTTCAAGACATACAAAGGATGAGAAGAATATAGAATTTTAGCAGAGATTGATTCTCAAGAGAAACAATTCAGTACAGAATGAGATTGTCTGGAACAGATATCTACATGACAGCTGGGGATTAGCTTAAGGGGCTGAGCTGCCACTCAAGGCGCTGAGCTTTCCCTAAGCAGCCAACAGAGCAGCATCAATAGTGAACTCAAATCTTCAGAGCCATGGCCTTGAAACATGTGACCCTTTGCTACCAAAGCCAGCTACTTCAGCAGAATCTCCATCTTCACCTGACTATAGCACTGGAAGCAGTAAAGGTGGCAGTGCAAGAAGGATCTCCAGGCCAGGTATGGCACTAGGTGCCCCGGAAATGTGCAACCAGGTAACCTCGTCCCTGTCTGTCCAGGGCCTTCTCCCCTATACTGCCCAGCAGTAGCAGCAGCAACTTCCTGCCCTCCCACCCATGCCTCAGCAACAGCCTCCCATGAATAATTGCAAGATCTCACAGGCAGACAACATCAGCAACCCCTTCGGAGAAATGAGCCTTTACCACTAAGATTCTACAGAAGCAGCTGACCCATCCTCCCCTCTGTTCTGGTCCCCACTTATCTTTCAGCATCCTCAGCAGATAAGCTTCATTGCAGTGCAGCCCTTCCCACAGGACAGCTCCTCCCCACAGGACAGCTCCTCCCCATCTCCAACTGTTCCACTCAGCAATTCTTCCCAGAACTACATGCAGCCCCCTCAACAGATCCAGATTTTTCACTGTCCTCTTGGACAGTATTCTAATTCCAACCCGAAATATTGACCTCTCTCTCTCGCCCCGTGGTCTACAGCTCCCAACGTGATCAACAGTTGGGAGTACCTCAACCATCCTATAATGGTTTATATCCCATAATGCCTAACTAGGAGCAGGCAGCTTATAGAGGCTTGAATGGGATCCACAACCCCAGTACCAGGGCCTGCTCAGCAACCAGAGCAGCAGAATGGGGGGCCAGATGCAAGCTTGGTCCTTCTTACCAAAATGTGGTCCAGCCTCCCTTCCAGCTACCCATGCTAGTCCCTGTGAGCCAGTCTGTGCAAGGAGGCCTCCTGGCAGGTGGCATACCAGTGTACTATAGCCAGATTTCACTGAATCAGCAAATGGTACGAGCCCTTCTGTATGTAGGGTTTCTCCTGGCTCTGAGCAGTACCAAACGCCTGAGTCTCCCTCTTTGGCTAAAAAGAACTATGACTTGAGGGTTATGGAACAAGCCAACTCCTAGTAAACAGAAGAGGGGAGGGACCGGCACAGTAGGGGCGGGGGCAGGGTGGAGGGGACCGGAGGATCCTGACAGCACAGAGGCTTGAAGAAAGGAGACAGACCCTCAAGTGGAGCCTAAGATAATGAGGATACAGATGGAAACAGGCACTCACTGGCACTGAATTCCACCTTGCTCCCCTGCCATGGGTCTCTTCTTTTCCCCTGGATGGTCCCCTCTCCTTTTGTCTCTTTCCCATCCTCTTCAGTCACTTTTCATCTCTTCTCCCACCTTTTCAATATGAAAGGAATTAATTTCTTTCATATGTTTTGGTCAGGTAGCATTGCGAGGGTCCCACACTCCGTTATTCCTCTATTTATTTACAATCCCAAGCTTCCTTTTCTCTTTTGGTCTTTATGAATATATTGGAAGGACAAAATTAAGAAATATAAAATTTATTTCCCCTTTCTCTTACTTACGGCATCTTCTCTCCCCAAATACCACAGAGTTAAAACTTGGGCTTCTTCAACTCCCCAGAACACTTTATATTGTTTAAGGTTGACACTGCAGTAATAGACAGTGTTTAGTTGCACATACAAATGTTGGTTGGGCATATTCAATGTGAAGTTTATTTAATCTGGTTTCTTGTTTGTTTGGGGCTTATTTGGAGGAAAGTTAGTTATGCATTTAAATATAAAAAAATTCTGTCACTGAAAAAAATATATAGTGATCAGCTTCCACTTTGGAAATGTAATTAGAATGTGCCCCTTCAGCACCTGATCCTAGATAAATTGTTTTGAAATTTGTCACCATTAAAAAGTGTTTTTCCACTGAAAGCATACTTGTATTGTTCATTCTAACACCATCTCACCTTCACTGAGCTCTTTAACTTCCTAATTTATAAAAATGTAAATTAATTATGTCTAAGAGTTAAGATCCCTCCTAATGAAGAAGAGGTAGTGGGATAGATTGAAATTACGAGTTGAGATTGGGGCATTGGTTAAATTCACAGCTCTGTGTCTCAATTAACCTTTCAGGCCTACAATTTTGCACTTACATAAAAAAGATGATAATACCTAAAGTAAAGGATTAGTGCACATACATTCATTAAGCAGAGAATCACTATATTGCATCATTTAAAAATTCGACTTGGTCATCAGGCTCATCATGTCCCCCATTTTTGACTGGCCTTCTTCTGATTTAACTTTTCTCTCTCACAAACCCTATATTTCTGAGATACTGTCCTGTCCCTCATTTTTCATTCAAGTTCCTTGAAGGATTTGTCTCTACTTCTCTTTAGTTCCTCATCTGCATTCATTGCTCAACCTGCAAAAATCTGATTTAAAAATAAGATTTTTAACATACTTTTTCTGGTTCATATACGTCTACATTTCAAAATGCAATCTATGTGTCAGTAACTTAATTCACAACTGTCAGGTACCTACTCCTTCCTCTATTCTCTTATTTTTATTTAAATACAGAAAGCTGGTTTTTAGCCTGTCGAGTTACCATACAGATTAAAAGACTCTATTCCCAGGACTTCTTTGTAGATTCGTGAGATACAATAAATTCTGGCCAAAGAGATGTAAACAGAATGGTGATGGAGGTTGATTAAGTGTCTTTAAAAGAGAAGGGTGATGTCTTCTTCTTTTATTCCATTTAGCTATTGGAGACACCATTGTGATGAAGCATTTACATGCAAAATTTTGGGTCTCATAAGAGGAGGGCCAGCCCTTGGGATGGCAGAGTGGACATCTGGAAAAAGCCTGGATAACTTTGTTGAGCTCAAATTAGCCTGAGTTGCCTTCCATAGCCTTTTTCGACTAGAGGAAATAAATTTTGATTTTGCTTAAACACTTGTGATATGGGAATATATCTGTTCTGTGTAGCTAAGCTAATCTGATCAGTTCTACATATTTGACCTAGACATCTCTGATGAGCTGCAGTACTGTATTACAGGCTGCTGTTTAATATTTTAAAAGAACCTCAAGCTTAATCTGCCTGAAACCAAATGCCAGTATCTAGCCACTAATTCAAAAACATTAAACTACGTTTCATCTTCCCTTTGTAATAGAAAATAGCCAAAAATACTATCACCAAATAATTTTTGAATTCATTTCCTCCTTGAATTTACCCCCTTTTCAATAGTATATTCTTTTTATCTCTTTGTCAGTTACAGCAATTTAATAGTATATATCAATATGCTCACTGAATCTTATATATTTGGGTAAGACATTTTATGATATTGGTCAATTTTATTAATATTTTATTAACAATCATCAATAGTGATGTCTAAAATTCATGTACAATAACAGTAGCAATTATTCTAGGAATAAGCTAACCATAGATTGCAATACTACTGATAGGCTGTCTCATTCATTAACATTGTTTTTCATATTTGGAATTGAGTACTACAGAAAATCAATTAAACACTCTGGTATATTGTAGGAATATTTCTTTATTGACTGAAGAATTCAGTCAGTATATAGATATATTCATTTTCAAATCAACTTTATCCCAGTGGTGAGAAGACAAGATTTGAATTCCATAGCTAGCAAGTAACCATTTCCTCACGCGAACACTTTGCTATCTCAGCTAATGCAAAGTGTCATTAATGTGAAGTCACTAAAATAAAATTTGAAAATTGTTGAATTACAGAATAGTTTTACAAAATTGAAGTTGCACTGAGTTCTGGTTGAGCATGTTTTTTCTAAATTGCATTCATGTGACAAGTGAATGAATGCAAAACATTCACACAAATACAAGAAACGGAGAAGAAACTACAGCAGATGAGAGATGTCAAAAAGTTTTGGTAAAAGAAAAGTAGATAGATACATAGTAACGGATACAGTATAGTAAAGAAAGCCAATGCCAAAGCTCCCTCAAGGGAAAAACCAAAGGAAGCAAACCAAGTCCTTCTTTGCAGACCACTGAATTACTCAGAAATGGGAAATACTAGTGACTTGTAAAGAACTACTAAAGCTTGTGGGATGAGACTGAAAATAATGAGGTTTGTTGAATGACAGGAAAGATTACTTCTCTAAAAATACTTTTAACTTTCCTACCAGTCCTTAAAGTAGCCCTCTCTTCTCAACACACATTAACTTTATGGAGATGTTAAGCAAAAGAAGGTTTTATCTTTGGATCACCAGACACAGCTGACAGGAGTGGAGGGGAATACGGGAGCCAAATAAAAACAACAGGCTTAATATGAACATCTGCATCATCAAAAATGGAACTCCCCAGCCAATTTCATACATTCACCTGCAGGAGATTAGAAAATTCTTCTCTATGAACATCAGACCAGGATAAATGGGCCCTAAACATTTATACTTAAAAATAATTAAGTGACTCTCCTTACTGTGAGGTAGACCAGCCATTTGCAAGCTGACTCATGCACACTAAGCATCCAATCAACTTTTATTCTGAGCAGTAAATCAACATTTTTGCTCAGCATTCAAAACTGAATGGATGGTCAATGAGTAACACATATAAACCAGTCCTCTAAATGAAAAATAGTGAACAAAATCAATAAATAGAAAATAAATCTTGGATGAAAAAGAAGAAACATAGAAGGATAATAATTCAAAAGAAAATATTAATTTTTCCAGAGACATAATAGAAGATAATGTATCCATAAGAGCACAATGAGATTATTAAAAAAGTAAACTGAGAGTAAAAGAAATAACTCTTAGAAGTTACTGCATGTAATAACAGACATAAAAATATCCACAGAAGGGTTGGACGGTCCAGTTAAGAATACATTTTAGAAAGCAGAAAAATCACAAAGATATGGAAAATAGACAATAAAAGGTAATACAATTCGAGCACTGATTTAAATTTTAAGGAAAAAAAATTCAACAAAAGAAAAGAATAAAATCATCAAATAAATGATATCAAAATATTTTCAAAGATTGAAAGATATTTATCTTTCAGAATGTACAAAGGCCTGCTGAGTACTCAACCCAGTGAAATGTATTTTTTTGTTTGTGTTTTTATGGGGAGTGGCACACAGGATGTACCATTTTGAAATTTTGGAATACCAAAGATAAAGAGATAATCACAAAATCTTCTGGAGAGATTAACAAGCACAACAGTTCACATTAGACAGATCTGGATTTAGAATCGGAACGTCCTAAGATTTAGAAGAAACAACTTCGTCATTTGGAAAAATACTAATTTCTAAACTAGAATTCCATCTTCAGTCAAATACCATGTTCAATAATGTTTCTCATAATTGTAGAATTTCAAAAATGTAATGCCCATGATTCCTATCTCATAAGTTTCTGGAGGAAATGTTTGCTAAAATTAAGAAATAATAGAAAGAGGATAAGCAAAAGACTGAACACATGAAAAAGGCAAAAGGAATGTCTGGGATGTCGGTGATAGGAAGTCTGGGGTTAGCAGCTATGTAGCTGACCTAGAGATCAGCTGTTCCAGAAGCTGGCATTCAAAAAAGGAAAAAAAAAAACACCCAGGAGATTACCTGATGTGTTTGTACTGACAGGATTTATAGTGTTTCTGGAGTGTTGGAGTGGTAGGTATATGCAAATTAAACACATGATAAAACAAGTCATAAACTCCAATAAAAACAGTTGCTCAAGAAACCAACTGTATTCAAAGTATAATACTAAGCTCAGATAAAAGCAAATTTATATGCTCATAATAATGTAAACACTAAATAATATTTTAACCAAAAAATATAATAAAGCTCTTTTGGGATAATGGAGAGAGAGGAAGCATGTTTTTATATGTATGGGCAGATAGTTAAAAGAAATCTCACTCTGAGACATTAATAGAAACATAGATTCTAAAGTAGAAAATCAAGAAACAGAAATATCAGAGTACTGCTTGGGCCATGCACAAATACCAGAAGAAACAGCTGAAAGATTCACAGTATTGCCCCTGGGGATTGGGTGTCTTGATAGGGAGGCTGGAGCAATAGATCTCTGTTTTGTTCACTGTACTGTTTGATTAAAATTCTAATGTATTACATTGAAAAAAAAATTTAAGTATTTTTAAGAAACTGTAATAATGTGAAGTATGTTAAGCTCTAGAACAACCAAATATTTCTTACGAAGATAAATGATATAATTAGTAAGTTGTAACCATGACATAAAGTTATTGAAAAATAATGCTTTGAACATTTTCAACTATTCTTAAAATGTTGAAACCTGCTCATTTCTAAGTATGTATACTTTTCCTTAGTATATACATAAGTATATATGTATACTTTACATACTTAGTATGTACACTATTTTTTTAGCATACCTTCTTTTTCACTGTCAAAAAATCATACTAGACTTAAATTTTCAGAAATTCTAAATTAATGAAGTACAAATTAATGTCTCATATCTGTTAGGCGGCAAAATCTCAAATACTGCCATGAATTCTGCATTTGAATAAATCTCAACTGAAAAGTAACAAAACTGAAAGTAATCTCTGTACAAGTCTAATATTCTACAGCATAAAAATGTCACTATTAAAATTTTTTTAAAAAAGAAAGTCTCCATTAGCTATCTGAAGTTGAGAAAACACATAAACAAAAATGTTCTCCATTCTATTACTTGTGCATTATCAGGAGACTTCATTTCTGCAATTTATATTCCCACAGTCGTGTGCTAATTTTATGAAGAGTTACTCTGTTGCCTTTTTACTAAAGTGAGAGAGCAATGAAAATATTATGGGATTGGCCTGTAATGCATTTGTAAAGGTGAAAACTTAAAGTGAAATCAAATGGGACATAGGAAATCAAATGAGTTTAAGGATTTAACTATAACCATGGAATAAAAGGTTATTCAGTTTTGCAAATTCAAAGCAGTCTCTGACGAGTCTAATTTAATGAATAAAATTCTTGTTTCTTTTACAATAGACCTTTAAACTATTTCTACTCAGCAGTCTTAAAATGATTTCATTAGGAGGTACTGGAGTTATTGAGCTGAAATGGCAGCTGCTGTTTTTCTTAGTTTCCTTTATTCCATAAAAGGATTGGTAACTTACATTTGGCTTCAAAACACTTCACTGGCAACTCCCCTCTGCTTTTGTTTCTCTCCCAAAAGTTTAATCTAATTTAGAGTTTTCAAAGGAGATAGATAAGGTTCTTTTTAAGAGTAATTAAAAGCGTGATGCCTTTCAGTCACTAATTTCTAAACTGGGACTTACCTTTCAAAGAAATATTAAAGTAAAATAGGTAAAGTTTATCTTAGTAAATACAATTATCTGGGGAAGGGAGGATCCATATGTAAACTAAGCTCTCTGTGCCTGTGGTTTAGCAATATCCACAAGAAAGACAGATTAAGTAGCTCTCAAATTGCATTTTGAATTGTTCAATGGGTGTCAACACATTAAATCCCTTACTCTTAAAGATCTAGGTGATATATTTTTATATTTGAATACTTCTTTATTGTAAAAATATACTCAGTGCTTTCTGGTAACAAAATAGGTTTGATACTGACCCTAGATTTGACCATAGATTTACACAGGTTCCAACAAAATATTACTTAGACAAAAGTGTATGGTCTGGAATCTTTTGGTGAGCCATTTTAGAGTGAACAAAACTAAACCAAATGAGTAGGGAGAAATGTAAATGACTTTAAAAATCCTCTGGTTCAATTAACTAAGGGCAAGCTCTCATACGTTTCACAACTAAGGATTCTTCTGAGGATACAAATAGGCTAATTAAATAGGTAACATTGTGCCTCTTAATTACTCTCATTTCTCCCAGAAAGACATTATATAAATTTAACAATCTGTCTACAGACACTAAGACATATAGTTTCAACTTTATATGATGAAATTAAGTTAGAAACACATCTACAAGTAAATTTGTATAATTCCATATATCTTCCGCTAAAATAGAGCTCATTGTATACAGAAGGAAGAATGATTTAAATGTGATTGAGAAAGTTTTTAATATATTATAATTGTAAATATATTAATTCATTGCACTATAAGCCTATAAATAATAGAAAATTCATTGAGAAACAGGTTTGCAGCTAATGAGGCATGGCAAATCAGTAAGCTAAATATATATGGAGCAGTTTTTAAAAGTAGATTGAATACAATCTGTAATGATGTAATGTATCCATCAGAATCTAAAAATAGATAATACATACAAAAAAATTTTCTTTATCAAAGCACTTTTAAAATAACTAGTCAAGGACTTCACACAATACTGAAATTATTATTTTCATTAATGTAATTTTTTATTTACTTTATATAAATATGGACCATTTCATAGAAATCTTTCTGAAATGAATTAAAAAATATCTCTGCCTTGTTAAAAGGCATACAGGTGACAATATTTAACATGTTCTTCTTGACTGTCATCATTATGAACATCACATATGTAGAACTTGACTGAATTTATCCAGGTTTCTGTTTCTCTAATATTATTATGTCTAGTGATAGTCCCACCTTTATCCTGGGATCCATCCCTCCTTTTCTAGTCTACATACATCTATGACCCAGACATAACTAACTGGTGGTTCAAAACTCGGGTACTCACACTGGCCCTACCATCTTACCACTTTTCCTTTGAGAATATTTTTATCCAGAAAAGTACTTGTAAGCACCTACCACAAAGTTCCAACCTAATTATTTCATGTTTTTCTAAAATAAGTAAGTATGTGAAGACAGTAAGCAAATAAATAAGTAACCTTGGGTGGATAGACACACTGGTAGAACAAAACTATGAAACTTTAGCAGGACAAAATCTTCCAGAGAACTACACGAAATGAGCATTTTGTCACTACAGATTTTGCATGCAGAGGAAATAACATTTTCTAAGATTAGTGCTTATCTAATAGTATAACCAAATGAACTGAGAGAAATCTTATAAAATGTATATTGGAAGCACACTGAACATGTGGTACATTCCAAAAGTGCCCATTATATTGACTTTCAGCATCTTTAAGCATTTTCATTACTACTTGACTACAAATCAGACTTTTGCAAAGGCCAATCAATGGAGGCACACAGAGTAGTCAAGTTTGACAGTTCACTGTCATCAGTTTCTATATCAAATTTACTTGTTCAAATAACAGTAACTAGATTTGTCTTTGCTTTTTATTTCCTTGCATGTATTTTACTGTTAGCTACTCCCCATAAATGATAACGGTGTTATTAAGGTAAACAAGAAATTCCTCCAAGGGTTCCTGCTGGGTACGCAACATCCGGAACCAATGTTCTATCTCCACTGACACTTAAAATACTACCTCAAATTTCTGCAAAAAAGACAACTAACAAAAAATAGAAACTTATTCAAAATCTCTTTAAAAGCCTTCTTGCCATTAGAATGACAAAGTTATTTCAGTGCTTCTGCCACCAATTTAGTGGCAGTGGGAAAACATTTGCCTAGTGGGAAAACATTCAATTTGGTGGCTACTGAGAAATCAGCTTTAAAGCAACTCCTGAAGGAAACCTTAAAAAAGAACAACCAAATTTTTGTTTTTGTTTTCTCTTCTCATGGCATAACAACCATATTCACTTATTATCCCATTCAACCTCACATCTGTATTTTATAACCTCCACAAATTTCATATGAAAAAGTGCTTAACTTAAAATTAAGAGATTCCTTTAACTTGCTCTGCTTTTTCTGATCTCTATGGCACTTTTAATGTCCTAGCATTCAAGATGATTTATTTATCTGATATACTTATTTGATATTTTTTGTCTATACACACACACAAATGAAGGCAAGAACATTGTTCACTAATGTGTTCAAGCATCTTGGCATATTACAGGTGTGCTATATATATTTGTTGAATAAATGAATTAAGTAATTGATCAAAATTTCTTGCCATTTTTCATTTCAAAGTGAAATTACATGGGGCATTACAAGTTACTAATTTCTGGAAGGCTCTATATTATATAAATGTGAGTCCACAAAAGTAAAGGGTCTAATATCTAGATTATCATACAGGTCCATGTAGGCACAACATATATAAATGATTTTTCTTAGGCCCTAGCTAAATATGCAAAATAAGTCAGTTGTACTTCTATGGCAACATCCACATCTCGAAGATGTTTATTTTATTATTTTACTTTAACCTAGGCAACCGTTTAAGTATTGAAATCTCAACTAGTACATTTAAAATACTTTTTAGGGAGACATATCCTGTGGGACTGTGGTAGTTTTAGGTCTAGTATTAGTTTCAGGTGAAAAGTTGCTCATTCTCAACACACTATCTGACTCAAGAGCTATCAAGGTGAGTAAATTATTCAAAAAGGGAAGATAAAACCTGGGGCCCATTACATGTCTCCATCCCAAAAGAGACTCTTTGATCGGTCTCCTATTTTAGCAGATTTTCATGGCTTCACATTTTAAAATGAACTTAGTTCAATACATTTAACTAGAATCTCCTTGGGTTTCTATAGATGTATCCCTATTTTTAACTCCAAATGCTGGAGTGTTCAGACTTTCAAATGCTGAAGAACTATATCTTATCAAAAAGCAATAAAAATTCATTGAAAAGTACTTAAGGAACATACAAGTTTTCAGACTCTATCTTTAAGGACCTTGAAAAAGAACACGGAAATAATATGAAGAAATAGTTTCAATCTGGCTTTATTTAAATCTGCTTATTTCAGATAAGAATCAATAATGTTGATATATCTGCTTGTGTTAAATGGTGCAAAACAATTGGCCAGCATGAATGTGAGCAAATGCAAACAAGAATACCTACTGGAAAATTGTAAGTTGATTATGAGTCAATAATTATAAAGTAATTGAGTATATTAAAATGAATAAACAAATTATGGTGAGGGAAAGAACAAACAAATAAAACAAATAAAAATCCCACACTCGGGCCGGGCGCAGTGGCTCACGCCTGTAATCTCAGCACTTTGGGAGGCCAAGACGGGTAGATCACGAGGTCAGAAGTTCAAGACCAGCCTGGCCAACATGGTGAAACCCCGTCTCTTCTAAAAATACAAAAATTAGCCAGGTGCGGTGTCAGGCACCTGTAATCCCAGCTACTCGGGAGGCTGAGGCAGGAGAACTGCTTGAACCCGGGAAGCAGAGGTTGCAGTGAGCCGAGATTGCGCCACTGCACTCCAGCCTGGGCGACAGACTGAGACTCCGTCTCAAAAAAAAAAAAAAAGAATCCCACACTCAAGAAAACACAAATAGGCCAGGTGTGGTGGCTCATGCTTATAATCCCAGCACTTTGGGAGGCTGAAGTGGGAAGATCTCTTCAGCTCAGGAGTTCAAGACTAGCCTGGGCAACAGAGTGAGACCTCATCTCTACTAAAAATAATGATTATATATATATATATTTGTTTGTTTGTCTGTTTTGTTTTGTTTTTTGTTTGTTTCTTCAAGATGCAGTCTCGCCCTGTTGCCCAGGCTGGAGTGCAGTGATGCGATCACGGCTCACTGCAACCTCTGCCTTTCGGGTTCAAGTGATTCTTCTGCCTCAGCCTCCCAAATAGCTGAGACCACAGGCGCGTGCCACCACGCCCAGCTAATTTTTGTAGTTCTTAGTAGAGATGGGGTTTCACCATGTTGGCCAGGCTGGTCTTGAACTCCTGACCTCGTGATCCACCTACCTTGGCTTCCCAAAGTGCTGGGATTACAGGTGTGAGCCACTGCTCCCGGCCAAAATGATGATAATATTAAAATTAGCTGGGCATGGTGGTGTGCGCCTGTAGTGCCACCCACTTGGGAGGCTGAGGGGGGAGGATTGCTTGAGCCTTGGGAGTTTGAGCCTGCAGTGAGTAAGACCCTGTCTCAAAACAGAAGAAAAAACAAGTAAACATAAATAAAAACGAAGTAATGTTTACTTATCAGAGGTTTATTCTGTAATGTCAACCCTACACTGAGAATATCTCATTCTCAATTTCCTCCTCTACACATGAGAAATTTTGATTAGATAAAATAATTTCAGTTTCAAAGGAAAAGGGGTGTCACATTTTACAAGGTTCAGTATGTAAAACAAAACAACAGGAAAAGCATGCAGGGCACCAGAGTTTGACCTGTTTACCTCGCTTACTTTCACTTACACTACCCCATATGTGTCTGAATAACTGTCATTAAAACCTTCAGATACACTTTGTAAAAGTTTCTCGAAGGAATGAAGTTAATAGACTGCTCTAATGCTCAACATTTTTATTCTCCATGAGATGCCACAGTATAGCTATCGATCATCAATTTAAGGTTTATTCTCTTTCTTGATACCATATATAATTTTCTCATCATTCTCGTGAATATAATACTTTCAGGGTGTATATCAGGCATAAAGAACAGCAATTTTGTACTTAACTTTCTCATAGATAGGTATCATACTTCAGGATAATAAATCAGAAAAGTATTGTATTTTCACAACTTAGCAGTCAAAGCATATTTGCTTGTAACTTTTAAAACAGAAAATGAAAGAGACAGAATAAAAAATTCTCTGTCATTGGCTTGATATGTAATTTTAAGAGTTCATTTAGTTTTAAATTCTCATTTTAATATTAAATCAAGCGGTCAATGAGTTTTATACTCTTTCTAATGTATCTTTATTTAGCAAAATTTTTTAAATGCATCTTAACTAACATTCAGAATAAACTTGAGATTCAAAATACTTCTCACCAGCATTCTCTTATCAAAGGAAGGCTATCTGGTGTTCTTATATTAAGACCAAAAACAGGAGGTGGTTAAGAAACGGGGCTAGAATGACAATAAGCTTAAATATAAAATTGTTAAACAATTGAAAAATCTTCTGTCTACCTGCAGTAACACATGGAATTTAGCTGTGTATACTGCCACCTATAATTCACTGAAATATAACACATTCTTCTTAGATAAAAGAAAATTCACAAATGTTCCTGAATGCAATAAAATTCTGCAAGGACAGTGTGAACATCAACAATTTAAGACAAAAGCACCATATTAAATAGAGGTCCTTAAATATCATGGCATTTATCTTTTTAATTAATTTTTAAAATTAAAACTTTAAGATCTATTAACATTTCTGCTATTACCTATAAAAATTCTTCTTTGTATACAATAGATCTGATTTTAAAACAGAGACATAAATAGGAGTTACTGTTACAGTCCCCAACCTAAGAATCAGATCTCATGCTCCCAAGCATACCCTTATTTTAAACATATAAATATTATGTAAGTCATGAGAATGCCAGCTAAACCCAAACTACTAATTTTAAAGAGAAAAAAGAGAAACATTTTTACTTAGAGAAGCAATTGTTTTAAAATTATAAATGAATTTTCCCATCTCAACATAGCCTAGTTCTGACACATTGTTAAAAAGAATAACGATAAAGATCAATAGACTTTTAAAATAAACAAATCATGTGTTCTAGGTTAAATATTTACTCATTCTTTGCCTTTCTGAGATAAATATAATCTTATTTTAATTCTAGGAAAAAATATAATTAATCAGATAAGAACCATTATACTAAAACAAATAAATGAAGACATAAAAAACCTTTAGGAAAATTCCAATGTGAATTGCGATAAGAAATAAATAACCATCAAAAACATCAGCAACTTAGATTTTCAGTCAGAAGAGAATTTGTCAATGCTATCCATGCATGTTAGAAATAACAGACCTCAGGATTCCAAAATATACTGTCTACTTGGGCCCTGAAAACCAGCTTACTATCTTTCCAACTGAAATAAGCCACCTTCCAGAGTGTCTTGGATTTTAACACCAAAAATTGGGTTTTTAAAAAATCCTCTTAATGAGGAATATTTTAAAAGGCTAACAATTCTACTTACCCCCTCTTGCTACTCCAATGTCAAAAGAGGCTTACATTTTAATAACAGACATATCCAAAATTTTCAAGCCTTACTTTCCCCATCCAGAATCTTCATCTGTTGCTATCATCACTGGTTCACATGACTAGGTCTACCTAGGTGTAGCTCCCAAGAGAAGGTTACTTTCCATTTAGTGTCTTGCACCATGGAAAAAACTTACCATTTCTGCTGTCCTTCAGAAACTTCTGTTTTGTTTTGGGTTTTTTTTGTTGGTCTGTTTTTGTTTTTGTTTGCCTTGGGGAGTAGATATGAAAAGGTACAATGTTAAGCCCGGTTTTAAAAAACATACCTGAGTGATATAAATATTCAGTACGCTATAAATTTAGTTACCCCGTGGTTTTATATATTTAATGAATGCTTAAATCCATCCGTAATTAATATTTGTGTATTGTATAAAACGAAAAAACTAAACCTTCTTTTTCACAACGGTTGTGCAAGTTCTCCACTGTAATCCAAGTATACGCTGTGTGTAGCATCATCTGATTTTGTGATCACTTCTGTTTCACAGATCTGTTTCTATTTTATTATGACAAAAACAAAGTTTTAACTGCAATGCCATTTTTTCCTCACGTGTATGTGTGTGTACACACGTGAGCATGTGTTGTACATTTCCACTTAAACTCTTGCATTCTGGACAACCGACCTACGCTTTATTAGGTGGCCAAAATACAGAGTTAAGTATTTACAAACTCCATAATATTTAAACCACAAACAATATGAGTGTGTCAGTTATGGAATAAAGAAGACTGGGGTTAGCCATCAACCCAAGAGAAGAAAAAAGAAAATATACTATGGCAACCAACGTACCATATTTGAACTGAAATATCTCCATTTCAGAAGGGTGAAGAACAGAGACACTAGAAGCTAAACAGTGTCCCCTCTGACTTGAAATTCAAGACATCATTTTAAATCTAACAGGTCAATCAACCTTTCTTTTTAACTTAACCCTGCAACATGCTTCAAAATTAAAATACCTCCTGATTCTACCTGGGGCAGCAAATGTCTTTCTGTATCAGCCATACTTACTCTGAACATCTAACAGTCTCATCTCAGGTGGTTTCTTCTTAGTATGACATCATGACCTTATAAAATGAACAAAACAATTCAGAATATTGGCCATTGTACTTACTCTATACATATTTATATATTCAACATAGTATTATGAAATGAGAAGAAAATCTGAAAACAAAAGAAAATTATAAGAAGAGATACCACTTTTGAGTAGTGGCAGTTTTGAGAAATGCACTGTATTAATTGGCACTTGTAATTAGGTATAGTGAATTTTTCATTTTAGGTAAAGTTTCTTAAAAATAACATTTTAAAAGACTTGTTACAAATCAGATTATTAAAAACATAGCTTGTGAAACTGAGGTATAATATCTTAGAAATATATTTTAAAATTTAAAACAGAAAGGTAAAAAGTCAAGCATTCATTCATCCAGTCAGCACATCTTCATTAAGTACTAATTAGTTATGCAGCCAACAAATCCATCAAAAACTGTGACCAACTGAATGCTTGTCAGGTTCCTTGGGCTTAAACAATACTTTTACCACTGGTGTTATCCAGCAAAATGTAAATATATTATTGTTAAATTAGGTACTTGGTTAGGTAGTCTGACTAGGTATGGTTTAAAAAAAAGCTTTGAGAAAATCAGCAATCAGCACTTTACCATTAAATTAGCAGCAGCTGCCAAGGTTCTCAAATATATATGCTAAGGAACAAGCAATAATATTAAGTTTTATCACAATTCTAAGACTGAACATTGGCTATTAGCCTAAGACATACCAAAAGCATTGCTCAGGTGTGAATGCTGAATAAAAATCTCACGCATTTCCATTGACATCAAATTGGCCAAGCTTCTAGTGGAGATGGGGAAAACATAAATCAATGAAACAAAATTGAGGACTGCTGGAATTATGCATTTAAGCAACTGGGTCCAAATTCAGGATATTGGCCCATAATTGAATACATTCATTTGCTGTTTCTATGACCTTTCTAGAAAAGTGTTTTTGCTATCCCTGCCTTCATTTCTTTACTGCTCAAGTCCATCTAACCCTATTCAGATATTTCTTTCTACCAATCTGCACCACTGTTGCCATTAAAATCATAACAAAAGCTGTCCTTCTCTAGAAATTTTTGCTTAATTTATTTTATCCAAGTGTTTTCTTTATTCTCCATGCCTTTAGCACTCATAGTCATTAAATGTTTTAATAATTTTCATACTCTTAATGAAGTTATTTGAACATATATATATTCCTTATCAAATTGATTACAAAATCAAGGACTATGAAGTTCTTGAGAAACATATATCATAATTTACATTTATTTTCCATTCTCTCACTATTCCTATGACTAGGCGCCAATGCAACACCAATGCATGTTTTTGAGAGTCTTTGCCTCTCAAATTGTCATAATTACTAAAGAGAATGTTAATAAAAGCAATCATAGGCAGAAAATGGCAAGGAAAATGCTGAAAAGAAAGTTCAAATACAATTGAGGCTTAAAGCTCAGAATTGGGTATTCTAATGAATTCATTCTATTTTAGGAGGCTTATTTTTCACCAATTTGTTTTTAATTTTGAGAATTTTAGCACTCATTAGCAGGAATAGAGGAGAAGGTATTAAGATATTACTCTAAAGAATTGGAAAAAAACTAAATGACTCTATCAAATTAAAGCCCTTTAGTAATAAAATTTTGATAAATATTTAAATAGAAAACTATTTTAAAATGAATGAGCTATCTGCTTACGAAAATGACTTTTATAATCTATCTGCCTATCAGTTTTATCATATAAATTTTAACTTACTGAAAATAAAAGTT
This sequence comes from Homo sapiens, assembly GCF_000001405.40. Lineage (NCBI taxonomy): Eukaryota > Metazoa > Chordata > Mammalia > Primates > Hominidae > Homo > Homo sapiens. Next base: position 133,141,621 of record NC_000004.12, read on the forward strand.
TATCTGAAAGAAAGCAAGTAAATGTGATATATAATTATGGGAAAAGCTCATAATTGACTTTTATATTTTTGAAGCTTAACTAAAATTTAGTTAGTTATCTTCTTCACTTATCATTTGCATCTAGTCTTCAAAATCATATTGCAATTTCCCTCAAAACAGGGACACTAAATGTTTTGGTATCTGCTTAGTAAATAATATATATTTGATAAAGGAAATAAAACCCCCAAGAAAATTAATGCCGAGTATTCTCAACAAATATCTATTTATAGACTACCTCATCCAAAACATCTTACCATACAAATAGTTAACATTTACTGAGAATCCACTATAGAATAAGAATTTTACCTATATCATTTCAGTTGAAGCCTCAAAATAACAAGGTCAATGTATCATCATAGTTTAATAAATGTTTCAAATGTTTGACACACTTAATAGGGCTTCAAAGTAATTTCTCCAAGTCCAAATATTTAGAGAAGCAAGAATATGAACCCAATTTGGTTTAATTCTCAAAGTTATGTTCCTCATAAATTTACCATATCATCTCCTGTCATAGTCGGGTACCTTCAGAAATGAGTAAAAAAGAGGTATAACCTACCCTATAGAGCCCATTATGTATCTTCTGAATTACTGAGTTCACTTCTAAAATAAACATGTTTTTCTTCTGTCAGTTCTTATACCAAAATATTCATATAAATTTTACTTATAGTAGTAAATACGATGCCACAATCATCTTCATTTGATTATGTCTTTCAAAATTTAAAGGTATTTTTAAGTTCCTGTCCATTTTTCTTCTGGCATGAATAAATTTAATTTTTTAATTTTCAAAACTTTATAATTAAAACCATTTTTAAGCAACATTGAGGACGAAATTAGCATGAAGTGATACTTGAAATTCATTTAACAAAAACACATTTCCCTTTTTAAAGACTGCTTCAGAAATGTTTACAAAATAAACACCAATATTTGCACCGTGTAAACTGTGTACATTTCTTGATTTTCCTTTGCTTTCAGTCTCTGATGAATTAAGAGAACATGGCATACTTCTGGGATCATTGATCAGTGTTCTTTAGGAATGATGAGGCACAGGTACCTTTCTTTTGAACTTGTTTCATCAATTTTCTTGTTCCTTCCTTGAAATCTATGATTTCCACATTGGGCACTTCTGCATGAGAAAAAGATGACTGCTTATAATATTGCTTTCTTGTAAGAAAACATATTCAAGCTTTGTTTCACTGATAAAAATCCCTAAAGAAGAAAACCCTCAAACATATTTATGAATTCCTCCATCACTCAACTCAGTAAAGTACTAGCCAATTTGACTAGGATAAAATCAGCATTTCTGTCAGTCAAAAATCTGGATTAACTCCATTTCTAAGTTAATTTGAGATTTTTGTTTGTTTTACCTCCTAAGTAAATTCAATTCAGTTAGACTGAAGAAAGCCCATGGGGTAATAAAATGAGCCTGTATATGGGCAGCAAAAGATCTGGATTTGAATTCTGTAATAATGTAGTGAGTTACTTAAACTCTGAACATCCTTATAACATTAATTATAATGTTAGGATAATAAAACCTATATAGATGGAGAATACCAAATATAATTTACATAACAATTCTAGGTAAATATTAAGCTGTTTAAAAACCATTAGTAACTTTCACCTAAAAAGAATAGATGAAATTGCAATAAAATAGAGGATAAAGTACAGCATTTGCCAAGCCCGTTTAAATAAGATATCATGGAAATCATGTTTCTTATACAAAGAGTTATACTAAGCAGGCAGTGAAACTGAGAGAAATACTTTTTTTTTAAATTGAAGTATCTGTTTTACTGTTTGTTCTGATTTACTATTTTAATTCTAATGTAATTCTAATTATTAATGTAATTCTCAAGCTGTGTTTTATATTATTCTGATAATGTCTGTCCCCAATAATGTTTTAAAACTCTTCAGAATATAGCTCTATGACTTGCAACCCTAATCACGATTTGGGTTCTTATCTTATTATAAGAATAAGAATATAGCTCTATGACTTGCAACCCTAATCACAATTTGGGTTCTTATTCTTATTATACAGAATAATCTTATTCTGTATTTTAAAAATCAAGGGGTTTCCTTTTAAGAAAATAGTTTACACTTCCCAGGCAAACACTAAAACTATGCAGGTTTTGTATCACTATCAAATAAAAAGTAAAAACATTGGGTAAGGAAAAAAAAGAGCTCTTTCTAGACAACTTCTCTCTTACTCATATGAACTTGATCAGGACTTGCAATTAATTTTTGAAATTGTTCTGTATAGACCTCTATATTTGAAGCTTCATTTTCTGTCTCTGGGCCATGTCAGTAAAACCCACACATCTCCCTGTTAAGCAAAGCAGCTGGCTTTTTAAATGTGATGTCTTTTAGTTCTTATTTACAATCCTAATCACATCATTGATTTCAGTAATCTTTCAGTAAAAGTAGTTATTAATGCTGTCAAAAGCAGAAACGGGGATTCAATGTTGTTTTCTCTTTTTTTAAATAAACCTGGATAATTAAGATTAAGCCTAATAATGTGACTTTAGAGGCCTCTGGGTGATTAAGCAGTTTCCTGTGGTTGAGGATGCAACACAGCACAGACACCACCCTCGCTTAAAATTCTACATACCTCCCAAAAAATAACCACTTATACAAACCACAAACGGTTAAATAAAAATGCTAGGAGTAGTCAATCATCATAACACAAAGGAAACTAGATTTTTGTATTTTTCAGACTCAAAACACAAACAGCACATAAAATTTTATTTGACTGATTTTTTTTTCTGTAATTTAAGACAACCCATAGTGTGTATTTTGTCTACTAAGGCTACAAAACTAAGGTGCCATGACCTTTTTACTAGCCCAGGTATGTTTCTAATGCTCTAAAGAATAAAACAATGATCTGAAAAAGAGAGGATAAAACAAATATGAAGAGGTTAAGAGACATTTTGGAGAAATAAGATATTTTAATATCCAAAGCAACGGAAGAAAAGGGTAAGATGAGGTAATACATTTTAATTTTTAGAAAAAGAAGTCATAAGGCAATAAAGACTGTCATTTTGATTGAAATCCATTTATCTGCATTCTGAAAGATAGTATGGAACAAACAAAAGTTTTCAAAGGACTATTTACTACCAAAAGACACAATACGTGAAGAATCTGACAAGAATGCATGTTCAATGTCTGTCATCAACCCACCTCCCCAAAACCAAAAGAAAATATATGCACACACACACATATATATATGCATATGTATACACACACACACACACACACACACACACTTTGGAATCAGTATCACAAACCAGTGCCCAATTTAAAAACATTCCTGGACCTCTTATTGATCAATTTCTCTTACAGAAAGGAGCAGAGTATAGTATCTGAACTGAAACAGTATTATTAGAAAATGATATTGTGAGCATTAGGATGTATAATTCATGTTGCTTTCATTTGCTCAGACCATTGTAAAAATCCATAAATCATTTTTTGTTCATGTATTGCTTAAGTGCAATTTGTCATTTTGCATTAGAGGGCTGCTTCAGCTCATTCAGTGCTTTTAATTCACTGTTTAGAGTTTAACAAAATGTTGTCCCTGCTTGATAACTGAAAAGGCACTGAAATGTGAAGCCACCCCAATATTAACTAGGTTAAACAAAATGGAGAAGCACATTTCTACTTTCAATATCAAGATAATGGTGCTTGATGGGATATCTAGTATTTTCAATCCCAAGAACAAGGATTGGTTTGTTCTCTGATGGGCTTGAAGGATTAAAACACAGTAACTAAAGAGTTACCTGAATACTTAAAATTGCATATGCTATAAATCTTTCCCAGAAATTCCAGTCAGCATTCACTTTTTACTATAGATGAACAAAAACTAACACAATGTTTGTGGCATTGGTTCCAAAGCCTTGTCTTCCCACCTCTTAAGTTAGATTACACTACCACAAATAAACCTATTTCATGCTTACCCATAAAAGATGCAATGCACTTTGGGTCTTTTGTATTTGTTCTCTGAGCTGTGCTTGCTGAGAATGACAAGTGCCAGGAACAACCATCTAGGTCAATCCTGGTGGAGCCTGGTTATTGATAAAGTAATTTTTCCTTCCAATTCTAAAAAAAAAAAAAAAAAAAACTTCCCTCAAAGCTCTGGGCACATAGCAATAATAAGAGGATTTAGAAACAAATTGCTTTCAAGTCATGTTAAATCACTGCAAACACTCATTTATCCAAAGGCTGGTTAACAAACTTGTTTCTGCCCCACCCTTTGCAGCAAAGGGCAGAGAAGAAAGCAATCCCTTAACCCAGTTTCAAAGTTTGTAAAACACACTTGTGGGATCCTTAGCGCCCCCCTGTTTCTGCTGCACTTAAAGCCCAATGAAATAAAAAATGTGCACTATCACTCTAATATATAAACCAGGACTTTTATGAAAACTGATTTTGATAACCTCCCTCCAAATAATAAAACTATTCCTCTGTTTCTTAGGGTGCAGTTTGTCCTGGCTCAAACAGTTTGCGCTCCTAGGGGGTGGACGGGGGAGGGTGAAGAAGGGATTACGTACAAAATATTTCCTTCTCCTTTTCCGCTCCAGTAACGGGGGGATTGAGGAACACAGAATATACATGATGCTCTACACTTCAAAGAGGTAGTCAGCCTCATTACTGAGGCTGCCGTATATACAAACCTCATCTCACTAAATTCTGGGGTCCACGGGAGTAAGAATGAAAAAGAAAAACGAAAGGCAGGGATCTGTTTGATTGACACAGCAAGGGAAAAAGTAAACCTGTTACATTTTAGAGGCATTTTAAAAGGCAAATTTAAAGTGTTGTTTTGTTTTGTGGGTGACGGGGCATGGTTGTTTTAAAGGCTCTAGGGTAAAGGGGCATAGAAGGCTATTAATGCCACTATCTGATCTTGGCTCCAAACAAAATGCTCTTGGAATTGCCCTTGGCTGGAGCTATCTAGCGGGAGGCGGAGGACCAGGCTCTGTTCTGTTCGGCCGGGAAGAAGACCCTACCGTCACTCCGCCGGTCCCTGGCTGGCGCCACAAAGACTAGAAGTCGGAGAGGCGAGACCTCTAGGGGGCCTGGGCTCAGCGACGCTGGTGCGGACACAGACCCCTATGACCCAAGAAATCTTGTAGAGCCCCCAAAAGGCGAGCTCTCCAAAGCAAAATTCTCTGGCCTGCCCTATGCTGATTTCGCCGCTAGGAGACGCCTGTAACCCACGTTTGCGGAGAGAGTTCCATTCAAACACATCTGCTACCAAAAATAAAAATAAAAAATAAAAAAAAATAAAAGCAGCTCAAGTGTTACAGTGGATGTAGTGATTATTTACAGGCAAATCTGGCCATCTCATCTCCACCTCTGGAAGCTCTCTGGCTTTCAGCATATGCCCCAAGTCAGCTCAAACTTCATCTACATTTCAGGGGTAGAAACCCTCTTCCCCAGTTTCTGGATCTGCATTGTCATTCAGCTGCATGTCTCCCACATGCAAACACGCGCGCACTCGCGCGCACACACACAAGTGTTTCCATACGTACAAATGAACGCATTAGAAAATTACCGTCATTTTTTAAAAGGCTCCAGGATTCTGACGAGTCAGCTTGAAGAGCTCAAAACATTTCATTTCAATTCTGCAGATCTGAAGAAAAAGAAAGGGGGGAGGGGTGGAAGTACAGATGCAATACCGTATTAATATTCAGATACACTATAATCTCCTTTTCATTGATCCACAGGTCCCTTTATACACTGCCGCTCCATTCTCAGCCGCAGACGTGATGCTAAAATCATTTTAACTGCAGCGGTTTTCGCTTGGCTTTGGCCAGTCTTCAATTTACTGCAGCTGGAAAAGGATTAGCCATTTTTGCTGGAATCCTTTCCTTCTAAGCGCTCAAAGGCAGGACCCATCTTCATGAAAGAGCCAAGTGCGGGGGCCGGGGGGACCCGGCGTTGCGGGGAGTTGGGGCGCGGAAATCAGGGCAGTAGACGTGCATTCGCGGGACTCTCAGAAGCACGTCTCAGGCTACTATCACGCCCATGGACACTAGCCCTCCTTAACTCCTTGCCAGGAGGAAATGGCAACGTATCTCCAGGTCGGAAAACGACTCTACTTTTCCCGCAGGTTGTGGTGGTGTATTCTTGGGTCATTCATTACCAGAAAGCAGCAAAGGACCTTCCTATCTCTTTGCATAAAAAGGAGATTGAATAGGGGCTTCTTTCGTGAATAAACAACCAATTCCTTGCTAGTGGCCCATTAATTAAAAATATATATTTATAGATCTTTCCTTAGAGAACTGGCATTCTATCCACTCTCCAGCATTAAAGAGTTCGCGCTGTGTTTTAACTTCACAAGAACTAGCTATGTGGATGTGCCGCGTTGCCCCTGCGCCTCCGGAAGGGGCACTCACAGCTGGTCAAGCGCGTCCTTCGGAACTCGGGGAGGCTCCGTTGGGGCTTACACAGAGCTAAGCCCTGGGCCAGGGAGGATGGATGCAAGTACCGTGCATGTGCAAACGTGTTCGCAGATACCCGCAGCGGTGCACACTCGGGCCCCTCGTGTGCACGGGCCCTGCCCACCACCCCGCCCGCGTTCGCCGCCGCCCCACTGTCCTCATCCCGCGGGCTGACCCCAGGATTGGCAGAAATCAGTGGTCTAATCTAGCATGGTGGGTAAAGGGATCGATCTCCAATTGCCAAAAAAAAAATAGAAAATAGCCGGTGTTCCCAGCCGCTGCGTGGCACTTGGCCGCACAAGGCGCAGGGATATCAGAGGCGCTTTGCAGCGCTTGGCGGTGCTGTGTGCCGGATGCCCCAGAGCCCGGCGTTAGGATGGCGGGCTTGTAGGAAGCGGCTCAAATCAACTCCTCAGTCACTGATGAACGCGCTCACGGCTCGAAGCTAGGTCCTCGAGTGAGTTAATCTACTTGGTAAGTATTTTGTGAATATGTATTTTGGGAGGAAAGAAGCACGTCGAACGCGTCTGCCCGTCTGTAAGCGCTGTCATCCCCACATCCTTTAGCGTGAATTCCTCCGCTTTTTAGGAGTCACCTCCACCCCCTACTCCGTATGCTTCGCGCCTTTCCTCACGGCCCCGTCAGACCCCCTCACCTTTAGATTGACACATGCCATATAATACTCACTTTTAAAATGCCCTGCCAGTCTCTGCTAGGGTCCCTTAATTAGGTAACCCTTGCCAATTAGTGGGCCCTGCGCTACTTTTTCCCTTCTCGATGATTTATTTCCATGATGCGTATTAGGGAAAATACCTTAAAGGAAAAAGAATGTTAGCATCATTGGAAATCCCGCTCCTAGGAGAGGATATCGCAGCTGTTGCTATTATGTTTTCGCATTTGCTGATGCAAACAGGGGAACCTCTCTATTCCCTCCCCATTACCTGCGGCTGGGGACTGGGAACTTTCCGCGGCATTGTCCCCAGCCAGCGCCTCGGGACCTGCGGGGCTGTTCTCGCTCTCACACTCACACTCACCCCGGCCGCTCGGGCGAGAGTTCTGTCCCGCCCCGCCCGGCTGCCGCGTGACGTGTCTGTTTGGCGGCCAGTTTGGCCAATCATCGGCAGCTCGGTGGGTGGTGCTCCTGGGCGATTGGTTGGCAGAATGAGGGCGCTGCGCAAAAACGGAGAAGCCGAGCGCTCGGAGCTCAGAAACTGCCAGCCCAGACCACAGGCTCAGAGGCTGAAGCAGGAGGAAGGAAGGACTGGAAGGAAAAAGAGACAGGTTAGAGGGAAAGAGGCTTGGGAAGAAAACAGCAGAAAAGAAACTGCTCATTACACTTACAGAGAGGCAAGTAACGGTGGAGATGAGGACAGAGGGAACCAAGACTCTGAAAGACAAAAAATACAAATAGAGCGAAAGAGGAAAAAAATGTCAAGAAGAACATCCATCCGGAGAAATGAAGAGAATGAAAGTTTTAAGCTGCAGAGCCGTTCTGTGCTTTTCCGGCACAAAATTATATCGCTGATTTTAAGCCCTTTTGCATTTGCCAGCCGTTGACATTAAGAGGCATGTTTAACGGTGCCAACAGCATCTCCTTTTCCTTCTCCTCTTCCTCTTCTTCTTCTTCCTCCTCCTCCTCCTCTTTTTCCTCCTCCTCGTTCTCCTCCCATCAGCAAGAAGACAAACCGAGGACAGTCTTGAAATATCGAAATTTCCTCTTTGGGATTTGCCAGCGCCAAGACTGTCGGAATAAAGGACGCTGACTATTGTATTATTGTTATTTTATTAATTAGTCAGTGGAAAGATTACAGATGAGGAAAGGGGACGCCTGTCACCCTTCCTGTGCTAAGATTTAAAAAAAAATGAGGCTGGATTGCGGGAAGCTCTAAAATGAAGCAAAAGGAGTAAGATTTTTAAAGACAGAAAGCCACAGGAGCCCCCACGTAGCGCACTTTTATTTGTATTTTTTCAGATTTTTTTTTGTTTCGTGGTGGTGGGGGAGGTGATTGGGTGGCTGACTGGCTGCGGGAAGCTACTTCCTTTCCTTTTGGAGATGATTGTGCTATTATTGTTTGCCTTGCTCTGGATGGTGGAAGGAGTCTTTTCCCAGCTTCACTACACGGTACAGGAGGAGCAGGAACATGGCACTTTCGTGGGGAATATCGCTGAAGATCTGGGTCTGGACATTACAAAACTTTCGGCTCGCGGGTTTCAGACGGTGCCCAACTCAAGGACCCCTTACTTAGACCTCAACCTGGAGACAGGGGTGCTGTACGTGAACGAGAAAATAGACCGCGAACAAATCTGCAAACAGAGCCCCTCCTGTGTCCTGCACCTGGAGGTCTTTCTGGAGAACCCCCTGGAGCTGTTCCAGGTGGAGATCGAGGTGCTGGACATTAATGACAACCCCCCCTCTTTCCCGGAGCCAGACCTGACGGTGGAAATCTCTGAGAGCGCCACGCCAGGCACTCGCTTCCCCTTGGAGAGCGCATTCGACCCAGACGTGGGCACCAACTCCTTGCGCGACTACGAGATCACCCCCAACAGCTACTTCTCCCTGGACGTGCAGACCCAGGGGGATGGCAACCGATTCGCTGAGCTGGTGCTGGAGAAGCCACTGGACCGAGAGCAGCAAGCGGTGCACCGCTACGTGCTGACCGCGGTGGACGGAGGAGGTGGGGGAGGAGTAGGAGAAGGAGGGGGAGGTGGCGGGGGAGCAGGCCTGCCCCCCCAGCAGCAGCGCACCGGCACGGCCCTACTCACCATCCGAGTGCTGGACTCCAATGACAATGTGCCCGCTTTCGACCAACCCGTCTACACTGTGTCCCTACCAGAGAACTCTCCCCCAGGCACTCTCGTGATCCAGCTCAACGCCACCGACCCGGACGAGGGCCAGAACGGTGAGGTCGTGTACTCCTTCAGCAGCCACATTTCGCCCCGGGCGCGGGAGCTTTTCGGACTCTCGCCGCGCACTGGCAGACTGGAGGTAAGCGGCGAGTTGGACTATGAAGAGAGCCCAGTGTACCAAGTGTACGTGCAAGCCAAGGACCTGGGCCCCAACGCCGTGCCTGCGCACTGCAAGGTGCTAGTGCGAGTACTGGATGCTAATGACAACGCGCCAGAGATCAGCTTCAGCACCGTGAAGGAAGCGGTGAGTGAGGGCGCGGCGCCCGGCACTGTGGTGGCCCTTTTCAGCGTGACTGACCGCGACTCAGAGGAGAATGGGCAGGTGCAGTGCGAGCTACTGGGAGACGTGCCTTTCCGCCTCAAGTCTTCCTTTAAGAATTACTACACCATCGTTACCGAAGCCCCCCTGGACCGAGAGGCGGGGGACTCCTACACCCTGACTGTAGTGGCTCGGGACCGGGGCGAGCCTGCGCTCTCCACCAGTAAGTCGATCCAGGTACAAGTGTCGGATGTGAACGACAACGCGCCGCGTTTCAGCCAGCCGGTCTACGACGTGTATGTGACTGAAAACAACGTGCCTGGCGCCTACATCTACGCGGTGAGCGCCACCGACCGGGATGAGGGCGCCAACGCCCAGCTTGCCTACTCTATCCTCGAGTGCCAGATCCAGGGCATGAGCGTCTTCACCTACGTTTCTATCAACTCTGAGAACGGCTACTTGTACGCCCTGCGCTCCTTCGACTATGAGCAGCTGAAGGACTTCAGTTTTCAGGTGGAAGCCCGGGACGCTGGCAGCCCCCAGGCGCTGGCTGGTAACGCCACTGTCAACATCCTCATAGTGGATCAAAATGACAACGCCCCTGCCATCGTGGCGCCTCTACCAGGGCGCAACGGGACTCCAGCGCGTGAGGTGCTGCCCCGCTCGGCGGAGCCGGGTTACCTGCTCACCCGCGTGGCCGCCGTGGACGCGGACGACGGCGAGAACGCCCGGCTCACTTACAGCATCGTGCGTGGCAACGAAATGAACCTCTTTCGCATGGACTGGCGCACCGGGGAGCTGCGCACAGCACGCCGAGTCCCGGCCAAGCGCGACCCCCAGCGGCCTTATGAGCTGGTGATCGAGGTGCGCGACCATGGGCAGCCGCCCCTTTCCTCCACCGCCACCCTGGTGGTTCAGCTGGTGGATGGCGCCGTGGAGCCCCAGGGCGGGGGCGGGAGCGGAGGCGGAGGGTCAGGAGAGCACCAGCGCCCCAGTCGCTCTGGCGGCGGGGAAACCTCGCTAGACCTCACCCTCATCCTCATCATCGCGTTGGGCTCGGTGTCCTTCATCTTCCTGCTGGCCATGATCGTGCTGGCCGTGCGTTGCCAAAAAGAGAAGAAGCTCAACATCTATACTTGTCTGGCCAGCGATTGCTGCCTCTGCTGCTGCTGCTGCGGTGGCGGAGGTTCGACCTGCTGTGGCCGCCAAGCCCGGGCGCGCAAGAAGAAACTCAGCAAGTCAGACATCATGCTGGTGCAGAGCTCCAATGTACCCAGTAACCCGGCCCAGGTGCCGATAGAGGAGTCCGGGGGCTTTGGCTCCCACCACCACAACCAGAATTACTGCTATCAGGTATGCCTGACCCCTGAGTCCGCCAAGACCGACCTGATGTTTCTTAAGCCCTGCAGCCCTTCGCGGAGTACGGACACTGAGCACAACCCCTGCGGGGCCATCGTCACCGGTTACACCGACCAGCAGCCTGATATCATCTCCAACGGAAGCATTTTGTCCAACGAGGTAAGGCTGAAGCGAAAGGACCACCATCTCTCATCTCCTCCATCAGAAAGCCTCCTCTAGCCCGGCCCTTGTATCTCTGGTGCACTGTATCTATTTTTAGGATATTAGCTTATGTGTATCGTTGTGGGAGCAGAGATGGGCGGTCACCTTCTCCCACTCCTTCGTGTGTAACCTAACTTTCGCGTTGTTCCACCCTTTCACATTTATTTTCATTCCGTCCCCTTGGTACTTTGCCACCTTGGAGCTCCCTCCTTTGCTCTTCCATCCTGTCAGTCCTTTCCCTTCTCAGTAACCTGGGCATGAAGGGAAACTGCGTGAAGGGAGAGGGAAATGTGGAGGAGGGACTTACTTTCTAGCACTGGCAAAGGTCTTTTTTCTTTGCGTCTGTCCCAGGCATTAATAAAGTTGGCTCTATTTTGCTTTGTTTAACGATGCTTTTAGTCGCGTGTACAAGTAAGCTATAGATTGTTTAACTTTACACAGTTGTCTAACCTCGAATTCATGTTTTAGTGAACAAGTTACCAGATCCTTCTCCTCTGAACTCGGGTTGCAAAAAAAGCCTTCAGTTCGGCTCTGGACAGCATTTACAGACGCTCTTGAAGCCGAGCGCCCACACAGTGTGAATTTGAATGAAGCTGCGTTGGCACAAACCCCTGTTAAGAGTAAACTAACGAAAGGCTTAAACAATTGTTGTCTTAAATATATCTTTTTAGCTAATAATCACCTTCTTGCCACTGTTTTGGATAAATCACGCTGTTGGCTTTCTTCATAAAAGAATTTGGCTTGTCAATTCTGACTTCTTTTTAAAAGGATGGAGAAGTGACAAAGTCGGAGGGTGGGGGTTGGGGGGAGAACAAAGTTGGTTTATGTGAAAGAAAGCTTGGACCGGAAAGGTGTGTGGGTGGTAGAGGTGGGGAGGCGAATGCAGAGGGCCTTTGGAGGGGAAAAGAATGGGGGTGGTGGGGGGCGGGCAGGATTATGAACTCCTTTCCTGGCAGGTTATTTTATTTGAGTCTTAGATATTATTAATTGACTTTCATGAATATTTGTACAGCTCATTTGTATCTTAAGCACATTTTGAAAATAAACAACAACATAATTCCATGAAATATCCAAACTTTTTGCTTATTGAGCGTGCTGTTTTTCTTGTGTCAACCAGTATGCACCTAAACACTTTTTTAAGCCACTGAAGGAAAAGACAGCAGAATATAAACAGGTTGACTCTGTTAGAGACAATAGTATATGAGCTCTAGCCATGAGGTCATTTGCATTTTCTCTTTAAAAAACACACACACATTTAAAGTTAGCCAATTTTTTTTTAACCTTTACAAGTGACTAAAATGTGGATTTAAGTGTCCCTGCATATCTCCCCTGCCCTTACACAGCAATCACTAGGATGAGGTTTTAGGAGAGCTTGGAAATTCATAAAAATGTATACAATTACTTAAGCTAGATATAGTTCCTAACCTCAAAAGTAGACTGCTAGTTCAACCCATAGCATTCAAATGCTCTTGATTTATTTATTTTTTTCCTAGACTAAACACCAGCGAGCAGAGCTCAGCTATCTAGTTGACAGACCTCGCCGAGTTAACAGGTATGGACTCTTTTTTTCCCTAGCAGTAATGGACAATTTACAACCTAGTAAAAGTAGGAAGTAGGTATATTATTCTAAATTAAAATTGAAATGTATAAAATATTTTCAATTAAGGCAGGACATAAATATGAACTATATTGTGTTTCCTAGACAATACATTAAAAATTATACATTATATTTCATTTATATACAACGCTTAAACTATATTTGAATATTTTGTCAATTTACACTCCTACACAGCTTCCGATAGTCTTCCTCACTGTTCCAAATGTATATTTATATCTATTTTATGAAAATGATATAAACATGTATTTAGCTCCAATTATAGAGTAATGCCTAAACTTTACATGACTTAAGTGCTCAAAATGACTGTTAATCGATCATTTTTAAATAGTTAAGCTTAGGCTATAAAAACTAGCTTTATGCAGAAACAAAGCCAACTAAGAGGTCTGTGAGTCTGCAGCACCATCTGTGACCATGTGGTGGCAGAAGAATGTTTTCTGTGTTTCTTCACCTTTTTTATTCTAATATTCACATTTTTGTACTTCTAGTTCTGCATTCCAGGAAGCCGACATAGTAAGCTCTAAGGACAGTGGTCATGGAGACAGTGAACAGGGAGATAGTGATCATGATGCCACCAACCGTGCCCAGTCAGCTGGTAAGTGTGATCAAAGGGCAATCTAAATGCTAACTTTTATAGTTTTTGTTTTTAAAAATAAACGTAGGAAGGATGATGTCCTAGGCAATTTTCCATAGGTCTAATGCTGGTAACTCTACAGAAAAATAGTGTCACTCTACTTTGATATTTGCAGACTTAAAGAGAATTGTAAAAATGCAATGTTCCTTTGGAGAGTTAATGTTAGGAATTCATTGTAGAGAGTGTCAGAATACGAAATATATCTTGCTTATGTAATGTTCTTTAATGGACACATTGCATACAGAAAGACATAGCTCTCTCACTTGGTCCAGTTACCAGTCTTCAGTCAATTAAGGTATTCTTAAACTTGTTTATGGATGAGATAACTGAAGATAAATAAAATTGATTGACCTGCACAAGGTCACAAGAAGATAAATGGATGATTGAAGACTAGAATCCACATTTCTTGTTTTCCAGGGCAATGCATTTTACACACCACCAAGTATTGAATGAGAAAAGTAATGGTGATTAAAAGTCATTAATGGATTGAAAACAGAGTTTCTAATCTTGAGTCTTAGGCTTCAGAACGTTAGGTAATATGTGATAATGTGTATTTTTTGAAGTGTCCTTGGTTTCTTCATATTTTCAACAGGGTCCATGACACATCAAAAGGTGAACTCTGAGTATATTTGTTTGTGGGCTTGATGGTAGTCACTGATAGGTTTCAATGTGCTATATATTCATTTTATTTCACTTTTCTTTTTAGAAAGTCAAGTTTTATGAGATCCTGGTAACTCTTATTACTAATACTAAAAGGAAACTCTTACATGAAATAAAATATGTATGTTAAAATGAAAATGATTTAATAAACTTCTGGTGTCCTTCCTAATTTTTTGGTTTTCATCTTTGAAGGGTGTTTGTTGAATATTTTACTTTTTCTATCTAGTTTTGTGTTTATTTGACACATGAAGAAATAGAAAGGCTAGTCAACTTTTCTAACTCCTGAAAATGTCGATCTTAGACTGTCTTTGGGTTCAACTCTCTTGAGACTGGACCTTTATTTTACTTAATAATATAACCATAGAGTGATAGGTTCTCATTTTCAAGGTGATATTAGTCCTCGAGAGCACCCATTCCTTAACACACTTGTGGACCTCTGGATGGTGCTGAGGCAGTGTGTCAAAGGGCAGCGTACACCCCATGGTGGCCTGGCAGCAGTGGTTGCTACAAGCCTCTCACTTGGCTAATGTGTGCTGTGTCTGTGGCTGCCTTAGCCTTGGGAAACCCAGGCAGGAGGAAGGGAAAAAAGGCTGCTCAAGGGTCTCTTTATATTGCTGTGAGTCATTAATATGCAGGCCTAATGAGACTTGAGAACTGCCAAGAATCCCCGGAGGTCTCTGCCCCTTGCGGGCCTTCACGCTAAGTGAACAGAGCATCTATTTAGTGTCTGGGAACCTGACAACAAACCAGATCTTGCCAGAAGTTTATATGTGCGTACAAAGTCCCTTTCATTTTTGCCCTATATATGGCATATGATTTATTGTTATCTTTAAAAACTGTACATTTAGCATTGCTCATTCCTGTTCTTTTTCAGAGTTTCTAATTTAACTGTCAACCTTTTAAAACTTTTAAAACAAAATGTTTAATGTTTTAAAGAGTATCTGTTGCATGTTTCTTTGGATGCATTTTACTCCTTTCCCACCCCACACGCCCCGCTTTGTTTTTCCTGTAGCACTTCAATCTCAATGAACATTTCAATTAGTTTAGTCCCTCAGACATAATGACCCATAATAACCTAACTGAAGAAAGAGAAATGAATAAACATCTGCAAAAGAGCCAAATTTGGAAGATAGATGAGAACATATTCTTATCAGTGCATCTTCCCAGTAGCTACTTTATTTCACAGTCACTCAGTGTTACCATTTCTGTAATGTTTCTTTCAAATTATTGGAGATGTCAAAGCATTTAAAAGAATACTAAAATGTTAAAATGTGTTGTGGAAAACATTTCAGCCAGGCAGTTTTTGTTTTTATCAAAATGTTAAAATTTTTTTGTATCTTTAAGTTCTTAAACATGTAAAAGTGTTACAGAATTAACAATCCTTTTATGTATCTTATTAGTAGTTACACGGCAGCCACAACATACTGGGCACAATAATAGCTATTTTAGGATTGTAATAAAGCACTTATGTTAAGAAGTGATTGCACCTTTGTGTGCTGAATTGCAATCAGATTTAATGTCTAATTTTATTGTAAGAATAATTTTGAAGTGTTTTCTTTTTTAAGTATAAAACCTCAAATGCAGAGAATTAAAATGCATTTGCTTAAAGACTTTTTTCAATCCATACTGCTGTTATGTACTATAAACCTCACATCAGGCAGCTAGACTATTTCCAAAAATTTAAGCCCATTTCAGATAAATCTGTTTTATTTCATTGTAAAGCCAGATATTAATGATTTTCCAATTTTGCAAAATTAGGTAATATTACTCATAGCATAGCTTTCTAAGTTCAGGATAGGAAAAAAACCTTGTGTTATAATAAGCAAATCTCACTTAACTAGGTTTTAGTAGGGAAAAGTTAGATTATCAAGCAAAACTAACATTGGAAAGATAGAGACTCCGAATTCTCTCTTTCAGTTTGTACCATATTCCACACTATAGTGTACAGACTATTTAGCTTAGTGCTTCACCTGTTTAAACTTCCTTTTTCTTTATTCCTATTTCTTTTTCTACATTAACATTATTCTGTATTATTTATTTAGATATGCCTTCTATTTATTCTTTTATGAATAGTTTTCTTTTTTTGTTCTATCTTCCACCCCCTCCTTCTTGCTTTTCTTTTTTCTAAGCCATTTGCCGTCACCAATGTTGTTCATAGAAGGGCTTTAAACACGAAGGCAGCTGCACAGAGAATCACATAAGCTTTTTCAGTTTTCCACTGCACCTGGCTCCATGTGTGAAATTCTTCGCCTTGACCACTGCTCTGTGGCACTTTCTTTCTATAGCCTTGTCAAGGTGCTTCCCGTTTTTTTCAGTGAACTATTGATGTATTGGTTAGATATGGCAGTAGTCCAAGGAGAAGTGGCAAATGCAGACATAAACCATCACAAGAGGAAAAACTGATTAATCACAGCTTAAACAGCCAAAGAATTGGACTTTAAAGAAATATATTTTCAACTTTATTATATCATTAAAGCATAATTATTTCTTCTATTTTAGGATACAGATAGAATATTTTAAATTGTATATTCTTAAACATTTTAATATTATTTGAGGTATATCTAAAGTGATCTGTTTAGTAGTGAGAGGTTGCTTTTCCCGTTATAAAATACCTACATTGTCAATAATGCTAAGCTTAATTATAGATTTATTTTTAATACCTTGTGCCTTTAAAAAAATATGTTGAAGAGATAATCCTAATAAGTGATTGAATTACTTGTTAGACATTCTCTGAAAATTGTCAAATTTCTCTTCAATAATTTTTTCTTTCAGTTATAGGAGAACTTATCTTCCAAATATGTTTAGTTTCTAACTAATTATAGATATAATGCATGGTCAAAATTTGGCTATGAATTTTAAAAATAAAGTGATTTGATTGGTCAATAATTTCAAATTAGTAGATAAAATATACCATTGAAATGCATTAAGCCAGTGCATTACTACAGTGTCAGCAATAGAATTCTTGGTTTATTATAAACACAAATACCTATTTCCAAACTCCATTAAGAATTTAGATAATTGCCAAGTTTGATTTTGGGTTTATATATAAAATGGATTTACACCAGTATTTATAAAACCTTATTCACTGGTGAAACTTTGAGCTGCAACTTGAAAATGTGCAGAGATTTATAACTGGAGGCAATATAGAAGATGAAATATTGAGAGGAAATGGTGAAAAATATATACATTTTGAAAGATTATTGGTAGGGAGAAAATTTTGATGGGCATATTTTGATTTTTTTCATGAGTGAGTTATGTTAATAACTATCTGCTTCAAAACCATGTTTTTCTAAAACATACTGCAATTTTTGTGGTTACAATTAATGTATTTTAAGTCGTTAAAAGAGGACTAGAAATCTCAAAAAATGAAAAGTTTTATATCTTCTTTAAAATTAATTTATCATATTTGGAAAAAAATAAACGCTTTGAATGAAAGCTTGTTGCACAAAAAGAAATGTTCACGCAATATTGTATTATGACAGTCACCGAAAAAGTAGCACAAATTGAATTCTAAAATTTTTGAAATCACAATTTGGTCTCAATGGAAATATCCACTGCCTGTGAGTGTACAGGACAAGTTACTTGCCAGTTGAAAACCATGTACTTTAAAATTTGTCTAAATATATCTTTGCATAACAGGCAGTCTATCACATCAGCTATCATCCCTTGCAGAACAGATTATTTCTGAAAAGTGGAAAAAATAAATAACTAGAAAAAGAGATTGCAAGTAAAAGGTATATGTTGAAACATTTATTAGATATTACCAAAATTTCAAAACTGAGGTTTGGAATAATAGACATTGGAGACTCTGAAAGGTGGGAAGACTGAAGCCAGGTGAGGGATGTGAAATTATCTAATGAGTACAATTTACATTATTCAGGTGATGGTTACACTAAAAATCCAGACTACACCACCATAACAAAATTGCACTTGTATCCCTAAAGTCTATTTAATTGTTTTTTTAATTTAATTGAGTTTTGGTCTGTAATTTTCTGTTCTAAAATCCCACAGTTTCCATAGTAAGGCATTTGAATGAGAAAAAGAAAAATTAAGTTAAACTTATTAACTTTTGAGCTGCCAATTTGAGCTATTAAAAAATTGTAAGAGCAGTGTTAAAGTTATGCATTTTAATATATCCTAGCTACTGTAATATCTGGCATCCCTGTGCATCATAAAGTCATTTATCACAACAAAACTTAAATATGCCTCTGCTTACTTGGTAATTAAAGTGCTATATTTAATGGGACTAGGGACAGGAGATAAAAGATAAAATGTTAGTTATACAGTATCTTCCAAAGGTGAGGAATCGTAATGGAATAAATTTATGTAGCTCTCAAACTATATAACTACATAACAAATGAAAAAATCAATTTTTAATTAATTTTTCTGTTACTTATCTGAAGTTTATTGATTTACTATTTACGTTGTTTTAAATGTTTGTTTCTATGTCTGATTTTTCTTCCTGAGAAATAGGTACACTTATCAATAATACTGGTGAAACATTTATGTACAATTTGAGCCACCTTACCTTTCCTTCTAGTTATATGAAGCTGTATATTATTACTAAAGGACTTCCACTTTAAAAGGATTAATTCATAGATTTATTAAGAACATTATTTACATGTTTATTGCCTCTGTAGAGTGATACTGTTCATTGAACAAAAAACTTTTTCTATATCCTCACTTTTTTTTTTTTGCCATGCACATGCTATAGTTTATTTTTAATACAGATTCTCAACTTGTGTGAACTTTACTACATAATCTAAGGAAATTTTAACCAAACTCAAATAATCGAAAGAGGCAGAAGAAAAACATACTTGCCAGATAGGAAAATAGGCACATTGGAGTAAAAACTACGTAAAAGTAATTTCTACCAAAATCAAGCAGTATCCTAATATATGTTGACATACTAGATTATTAAAATTATGTGTGGAATCGTCATATTCACAATTAGAAGAGTAGTTGGGCCTAGGTGCAAAAAAAATATGTGAAAGGTTGTATATTGCCTTATCTAGAAAATGATATTTAGTCGTCGTGAAGAAAAATGATATTAGTTCTAATGTATATTGGAATGTAATTATATCAGCTATTCAAATTGAGTATATTTTTATTTTAGAAATAAATAATGGCTCATAATAATTTTACTCTTAAAGACGTTTCTACTATTAAAAAAATCTATGTTCCCCCATCATTCTATTAATAAATAGGCAGCACTTATCATGTCAAAGTATCAATCTTCTCTCTGGTTCTGTAGCCTCTACCTAGTTAGTATGTAAATGTGTATCAGGGACATTCTAGTTCCCTTTCTTTTTTTCTTTTCACATATCTTCTTGCAAAATTAGGATAAAGGAGTGAGCTTCTCTGGTGTCTAGTGAAACATTTACATGTTTTACATGCTGTTCTCAGTCAGATTCCTTAATCCCAGCTTCAGCTGACGTTTCCGTTCCTCAACAGTTCACTGATCAGTAATTTATTTCCAGACTTAAACAGGAAAATTATCAGTGAAATATTATAATCAAAGTCAGACTTAGCATTCTACATAGTTTAATATAAAATTTTAAAAAAGTCATTACGCAGTGAGATTAATATATGATAAGAAGCTTGGTGTTACTTTTTAAAATTTATGTAATTTGCTATTCTTAACTCCAAAATACTAGAGTTAAGTATTAGATAATCTAGATAATCTAGATAGTGTTAGACAAACCAGAGTGTTCATAATTTTGAAAAATTATTTTATTTTATATATGCAGATAACATATACACAAATATATATAAATCAATATGTAACAGAATACTATCAGGAATTTAAAAACTAAAACTTGCTCAAGAGCTCAAATCACTTGTGATATTAATAGAAGTAACAATCAAGTATGTTCATTAAATAAATATTCTTTTGATTTAAAAAATGTTTTTCCAGACTGTGCATGGATTCGAGTTTCTTTTCTACAGACTAATAATATACTTTTGTTTTTCAAATTGATCCTCTTTTAAAATTTTTTTATTATTTTTTCTTTTTTTAAAATATTATTTAAAAAATAAAGTGGCCTACTAGGCACTGTCATTCCACACCCAGCTCCATGCCAGTGAGCTGGGGAGCTTCTTAGCCATTTAAAGTTTGAGAATAGGTTGAGATTGCTTTGGCCCTGTTTTAAAATATCTGATAGATATGTTACTATGTTTAGAAAAACATTAAAATGCTATTTTTGTTTATGTGTTTTTCTGTGTAGTGCTATATATATCAGCATTAATATCAAATAGTATTCTGTAGTGCTTGAAAATTCTTATGCTTTGCTTAAGAAACTGAATGACCTTTCTTGATCATAATCAGATAATATTTGTAATCTTGTCAATCTAAGGAAGACAATGAAATTTGAACTTGTCCTTTGAAATCTTGGTATTATAGGATTAGTAAGCAAACAACTCTTTGTTGACTAGGACAAGTGTGTTCCAATATAGAGCAAGTAATAACGTATTTGTCAATAGTATCTGCAGTTGATTTACACTGCATTTGGTTACCTTGGTTTCATTAATTACAGTCATTTGTTCTGGATTTGTCTAAGGTGGTAAATAATAAGTGGTTTTTAGTAATATGGACTACCAGAGTGTCATTGAGGAATACCTTTAGGAAGTCATTTCCTAGAAACCTCGGAAAATATGCTTTTAGCTGCTAATGAAATTGTGTTTTATTCTTGTTTTTTACTGATTTTCCTCTGTGTATGCCACATTTCTGTTGAATTTCACTTTCTGCTTCATATTCAAATTTCATAATCTAAATATCATTTTTGGTGCTTGGCATATTTCTTATGTTATTTGTTTTTAAGGAAAAAAGTCAAATATTTATCATTGTTAGGGATCATGGATTTTAAAGCTTTTACACCTTGTTGTTTTATCTGTTATGAACTTCACAAGAGATTTTTTAAAAGATGTCTACCATTTTTATTCACCATTTCCCAGTTATTTAAATTGTTTAGAGCCAATATTTTGCCCAATACCCTAAGTAGTTTAGAAACATTTATCTCAGAGGCCTCTTTGCCAGAAGAGTCTTATCTTTTACATTTGCAGATCATTTTCCCTTTTTAAAGTGATGAACAAAAATGAGACAAAATAATATTTGGTTCCTGTCAGGATAAGCCAGGAAAAATTTGTTAAGACAACTTCACTTGTCACCCTTTATGCTACCTGTAATCTTACACTGCTAAGTAACTGGTCATGTTGGTGAAGACTACATCCGTAGTTTCTGTTTTCTGCTTACAGGTATGGATCTCTTCTCCAATTGCACTGAGGAATGTAAAGCTCTGGGCCACTCAGATCGGTGCTGGATGCCTTCTTTTGTCCCTTCTGATGGACGCCAGGCTGCTGATTATCGCAGCAATCTGCATGTTCCTGGCATGGACTCTGTTCCAGACACTGAGGTGTTTGAAACTCCAGAAGCCCAGCCTGGGGCAGAGCGGTCCTTTTCCACCTTTGGCAAAGAGAAGGCCCTTCACAGCACTCTGGAGAGGAAGGAGCTGGATGGACTGCTGACTAATACGCGAGCGCCTTACAAACCACCATATTTGAGTAAGTATTACACAAAGGGCTCTGTTAAAGTGTTCCCTTTGAGGAGATAAAGTTCAACATTCCACTCTTTTTGGTAAAAATGGAGTTCAGGTTTTTTTAAGAAATAAAGATAAAAGTGACTGGATGCTGGCAGCACTTTAGGGCAATATTCTTTATTTAAAATAATAGATTCCTCTAACATTGAGACATTAATAATTGCACTGAGCTCTTTCAAAATATAGGACTATATTCTCCAAATTGATTATTTTATATAATCATTGCAAACAATAAAAATGCTTTGAGATTCCATAATATATTTCCTTTGAGGATCTTGGTAATGAGAAATAGAAATATTTTTCTTTTAGTTAATGGATAAATATTACTGGCAATTCAATATCTTGGTCAAACTACATAAATAATGTTTGATAAAGATAAAACTCATAACAACTCAATCAAAAGATGACTTACATAGCAGATCCATCCTACGTAATGTTTTATTTCATCTACTACAAAAATAACTGTGGAACTTATAAGCTAGAACGAA